>NC_000013.11:77802045-77953560 GCF_000001405.40 Homo sapiens
TTGGCTAGGCATGGTAGCTCATACCTGTAATCCCACCAAATTTGGGAGACAGAGGCGCGTGGATCACTTGAGGACAGGAGTTTGAGACCAGTCTGACCAACATGGTGAAACTCTGTCTCAACTTAAAATATACAAAAATTAACCAGGTGGTGGCTCACACCTGTAATCCCGGCTACTTGGGAGGCTGAGGCAGGTGAATTGCTTGAACCTGGGAGGTGGAGGTTGTGGTGAGCTGAGATTGTGCCACTGCACTCCAGCTTGGGCAACAGAGTGAGAGTCTGTCTCTCACATACAAAAACAGAGAGAATAAATTTATGAAATTTGGTGGAAGAGAAGTCAAGGCAGAGAGAATAGCAAGTGCAAAGGCCCTGAGGAAGAAATGAGTTTGTGAGTTTAATAGAAAACGGGAAGAGGTTGTTACTGGAAGGATTTGAGGGAGGGAAGAATGGGAGGAGGTTCACGAGATTATAGAGATGGGCCGGGCAAGATCATGTAGGAGCTTGTAGGCCATGGCAAGGGGTTGGATTTTATTCATAGTGTAATTGGAATAGACTCTAAAGCTGTAAGAGAGGAAGCTGGAAGTGAGCATGGGCATTGCTGCAGTCGAATATGTGAGAGATGATGGTATCTGAGATTAAGACAATGGCAGTAGAGGCTGGAGACATATTTGGATTCTAGAAATAATTTTTAAGGTTGAGCTGAAGTAATATAATTGAATTCAATATGGTGTGTCAGAAAAAAAGAACTTAAAGATGACTCCTGAAATTTTAGGTGATGCACGTGAATAAATTCTGGTCCCATTGACAAAAATCGTAAAGATTGAAGGAGGATTAGAAATTGAGGGGAGATCAAAGGTTTTGTTTTGGATATGTGGACTTTGAGCTGCCGATTAGACACCTATTGGAAGATGTCTAGGAAGTTCAAAATATAAATCTGGAGCTCATGGGAGAGCTAGCAACTGGTGCATATGGATGATATTTGATGCTGAGGCAGCAGATAAAATCAATTAGGGAGTTGATATGGATAAAGAAACAGGCAGGGAGCTGAGCCCTGGAGTGCTACAATGTTTAGAGGTCAGGAAGAGAAATTGCCCACATATGAGACTGCAGAGGAACATTTGCTAAGGCAGAAGGAAAACCATGCCATATAGTGTTCTGGAAACCAAGTGAATAAAGACTTTCAAAATGGAAGAAATAACCAACAGTTTATCAAATGTTATCAAGCATGTTAAATGGGATAAGAACTCCCTTAATAACTGGATTTGGCAAGATGGAACCACTGGCCACCTGGGCAAGTGTGACTGAAGTATAGTGGTGGGGATGAATTGAGAAAACATATTTTTTAGCAACTTAGCAGCTGGCTAACAAATACACTGATGCCAAACCCCATGACACAAGTTTACCTATGTAACAAACCCGCACTTGTACTGCTGAACTTAAAAGTTAAAAAATGCATTGATTCAAAAAATCACAAAAACAAAAACCCAATAATATTCTTCTTAAGGTTAACAACGTACTAATGTTAATATTAAAATAGCTGAGTTGCCAGCCTTTAAGGTCTCGGTTAGGTTGCATGAAGCTTGAATTCATAAAATAAATGAATCCTGGAGATGGTTCTTGAATAAGATGGTCAGGCCCACAGGTAGCAAGGGGATAAAGAGATTACCCAGTTTCCAAGTCTATATGGTCTGAGTCCAAATCCTTGCTCTTCCAGCTGTACTACCTTCACTAAATCAACCTTTTGAATTTTGGTTTCTTTGTATATGAAGTAGAAATATTAATGACTGTGTCAAGAAATTGCTGCTAGAATTTACTGAAATTGCATATGCAAACGGACCGATAAATAGTATTGTCACTTGTCTTCCTTCTCTAAAGTGTTATCAGAAAGTTGTGTGGACACATATGTCATTGAACACTGAAGCTCATGCCAAAGGGATGGACTTCTATCTCCTTGGATTTCTTTTATCCTGGAGAAATAAAAAGTAGCTCAATTTTAAAATGTTGGCTTCTGCTTCATCCAAGTTGAGTGAGGTTAACAGCCACTGTGCTCAGAATTCTTTTCCTGGAAGAAATTATTTGATTGTTTTCTTTTTAAAGTGATGCAATCTCTCTCTCTCTCTCTCTCTCTCTCTGTTTCTATTTTCTCTCTCTCTCCCTCTCTTTTACTCTGCTCATCTTTCTCTTTTTAAATTTTATTTCAATAGTTTTTGAGGAACAGCTGGTTTTGGTTACATGGATAAGTTGCTTAGTTGTGATTTCCGAGATTTTGGTGTACCCATCAACTGAAGCATGTACACAGTACCCAATGTGTAGTCTTTTATCCCTCATCCCCCTCCCACCCTACTCTTGGGTCCCCAAAGTCCACTATCTCATTCTTATGCCTTTGCATCCTCATTGTTTAGCTCCCACTTACGAGTGAGACATATGATATTTGGTTTTCTATTCCTGACTTACTTCACTTATAATAATAGTATCCAACTCCATCTAGGTTGCTGCAAATGCCATTAATTCATTCCTTTTCCAGGCTGAGTAGTATCCCATGGTGTATATATACCACATTTTATTTATCCACTCGTTGGTTGGTTGGCATTCAGACTGGTTCCATTTTTTGCAGTTACGAATTGTGCTGCTACAAACATATGTGTGCAAGTGTCTTTTTCATATAAAGATTTATTTTCCTTTGGGTAGATACCCAGTAGTGGGATTGCTGGATCAAATTGTAGTTCTGCTTTTAGTTCTTTAAGGAATCTCCATATTGTTTTCCATAGAGGTTATACTAGTTTACATTCCCACTGGCAGTATAAAAGTGTTCCCTTTTTACCATATCCATGCCAGCATTTATTTATTTATTTATTTAATTTTTTAAAATGATGGCCATTCTTGCAGGAGTAAGGTGGTATCTCAGTGTGGTTTTAATTTGCATTTTCCCAATGATTAGTGATGTTGACCACTTTTTTCATATGTCTGTTGGCCATTTGTATATCTTCTTTTGAGAATTGTCTATTCATGTTCTTTGCCTACTTTTTGATGGGATTCTTTGATTTCTTTTCTTGCTGATTTGAGTTCCTTGTAGATTCTGGATATTAGTCCTATGTCAGATGCATAGTTTGCGAATATTTCCTCTCATGCTGTGGGTTGTCTGTTTACTCTGCTGACTATTTATTTTGCTGTGCAGAACCTTTTTAGTTTAAGTCCCATCTATTTATCTTCGTTTTTGTTACATTTGCCTTTGGGTTCTTGGTCATGAACTCCTTGCTTAAGCCAATGTCTAGAAAAGTTTTTTCAATGTTATCTTCTAGAGTTTTTGTGGTTGCAGATCTTAGATTTAAATCTTTGATCTATCTTGAGTTACTTTTGTATAAGGTGAAAGATCAGGATCTAGTTGCATTCTCCTACGTGTGGCTTGCCAATTATTCCAGCACCATTTGTTGAATAGGGTGTCCTTTCTTCACTTTATGTTTTTGTTTGCTTTGTCAAAGATCAGTTGGCCATAAGTATTTGGCTTTATTTCTGGGTTCTTTATTCTATTCCTTTGGTCTACGTGCCTATTTTTATACCAGTACTATGCTGTTTTGTTAACTATAACCTGGTAGTATAGTTTGAAGTCGAATAATGTGGTGCCTCCAGATTTGTTCTTTTTGCTTAGTCTTGCTTTGGCTATGTGGGCTCTTTTTTGGTTCCACATAAATTTTAGGACTGTTTTTCCTAGTTCTGTGAAGAATGATATTCATCTTTCTCTTAATCCTTCTGTATATCTCTCTTTTCTTCTTTCTTCTTCCTCTTTCCTTTTATTTTCTGATTTTACAAATAATACTTCTTTATTTTAGAGGGAAAGGAGAAGGAGGACACTTTTAATTCTCAAAGAGAATTTCCTACTAGATAACTTCTTGACTCACTTCTGGGTGCTGTAGCTTCCATTTGGTTGAGGGAAGGGAGAACTCATTCTTATTCTCATTTACCAGTGTGTAAACAAAGTGAAAGACCTCTGTGGGGGCTGCTATGGATCTTAACTTTGAGATCTCTTTCGAGCTTCTCCATTTTCCCCATTGCTCTTTTCTTTCTGCATAGTATATTTTTAGCTGGCGAATTCAAGTCCTTAACAACTTTTGGAGTGGCTGAGCTCCTACCCCTTTTGCCTGATTGACCAGGATGTGATTGAGCCCTCACTGTTCTCCACAACCAGCTCTGAGACTCTTTCCAGCAGCCTGTCCTGTTGTGGAGTACTGTTCCTCCAGGGCCATTGCTCAGGAGGACTTCTGTTCCCAGTGGCAAACAATGACCTTTTAGGAAGCTACTTCCCTGAGCTCTTGTGGAAGCAATTTCTCTCCTGAAAGAGTTGTTGGTTGGGCTGCTTCTTTTGCTTCTTGTTTCATGGAGGTACATGAATCTGTAGACACAAGATGTGCTCCAAGGCATCCCTTGAACAAGGTTACAACCCATTTTTGCCTAAATTGTGTTTGTTACATTCAGCTGACTCTCTGTGAAGAGGAAGGAGGCAGGCTTTGCTTAGGATTGTCTGAGTTGTGCAGAAGGAAAGCAAACCTACACACTGAATGGAGCTGGGCTCTCTTTCTGCTCCTGGAATTAGGCAGGTTTTCTGTGCATGAGCTCCTGGGGAGCCTTCAACTGCTTACATGAACTTGACAGGCACCTGTGATTTATGTTTTGAATCCTGCCCAAGTTTGTGAAGCAAAGTTTTGGTTTAGTCTGTGAGGAAGATTTTGAGCTTATGATGAGAAGACTACTTGAAAACCAGGTGATGTAAATTCACATGCAATTGCTCTAAGTTGTTTTTACATGAAGAAAATATGAAGTTCTAGAAACACATGTTCAGAGCCTGTATTGACGTTCTTGGCTAAGGAGCAGAGAGGGATGGAAAAAACTTGTGAACTCTGAAAAAGCCTGTCTACCCACTTTTCATTTTTTGTCTGTGCTTTGAAAAGAAGTTATTCATCATATAAACTATGCAAGTCCACCATGTTACTAAATCCTGGAGCTCTGATCACATTGAGGTGCAGGGGCAAATCCAGTGGCAAATGCTAAGTCTTGATATCAATCAAGTCCTATTCAAAGGACTCATCTTTACAAAGTATATTGTGTGTTTGGAAGAAAATCACATATTGTGTGTTTGGAAGAAAAACTCTTTTTTTATTCCCATGGCAAATTATAACTAAAGGAAATATTTGGAATTTCTAAAAATTTGCAGGCTTTTACAAATATTAATGTGCTGGTGTTAGCTTCTTGACATTTTCTTGTAAGACTCAACTAAATGTATTTGTTGTTGTAGGTGAATCAATGATCACATGAAATTTTTAAAGTCTAGTTTTGGTCTTCATTTCATTTGCTCTTCAGCTTTAAATGACCAAAGCAAATTCACCAAACTCTCTACAGAATGCTAATCAACAAAAGTTTGTTTTCAGAAACTCACGATAAATCAGTTTTATGTCCTCCATGTGAAAGTTCTAAGGTTTTAGAGGAGAATGTTAAAAGCAAGATATCAAGGGCCACTCTAACTGCGTTTATGCTACATAAAATGAACAACAATAACAACAACAGAGAAACAAAACCCAAATGCCAAGCCCAACTGTCCGACAAATGCCAGATGGTTCTTATCACATAAAAAGTCACGTAGATATCAGGAAGTCACATAAGCAGAGAGGCCTGTTGGTTTTGTTTTTTTGTCCTGTCTCTACTACTTATCTTTTCTCTAAATTTTCCTTAGAGTGGAAAATAAATAAAATTCTTTTTTCCACATTTGTATCTACTCTAGGAATTGAGGGGAATCCTGCTGTATTTTCTGATGAGCTTGTGAAGCATAATGGCTGGTAAAAAGAACTCAGCTGCAGAGCATCAGATTCCACTAAACATCAGCAAGACATGCTTTCGGGGCTCTCGAAACACTGTTGAGGGAAGAGTGTTGGGAAAACACTCTGCTCTGAAGTTCCTGGGGCTATCTGGGAGCTACAAGCTTCTGTAGCTTGAAGTGTAACCATATGTGAGCAGTGACACTTTAATTGTTGCTTTGCTTTTCTGGGTAGAGATCAGAAGTCTTTCAGCACAGAGCTTATTCACCCTTGGGAAAAACCTACCCTCTAGATATCAGAAAGGAAGAATCTGACCAAATTCTAGTTGTTGCTGACAGTTCAGCCACATAGATTTGGTCACTGTACTTTTCTCATTGAGCAAACAAATGCTGCTTGAGAATTTGAGGCTATTTAGGATGATGGCTGTAGTTGAAATGGTTAGAAATGACCAAAAGACTACGTATTCTCTAAAAGTTCCCTTATGATTGTGGTAATTAATGTAATAAATAGCTATTGCCTTTCTAAAGGATGATTATATACAGAGTTAGTGAGGGGGTAGTACACCATGGCATGATGCAACATATAATAATATGTTCAGCCTTTGCAGAGGGTAGTGAGCTTTCCCATTGCACAGTAGTAATTTTTCATTTTTTCTTGTGCATATGTTCTTGTCTCCTTAGTAGTTATCAAATACCTGAAAAGGAGAAGCTGTATTATAGTTATTTTCTATTGCTTTTTTGAGAAGGGGAAATTGAGTTCAGTTGACTCCATGTTGATGAAGCAGCTTCTACTGAATGAGTGGACTGAGGAAGAACCCACTTCAGTCCTAGTTTTGTATCCCGATTAAGAGTCTGGCTCTTTGGAATATCAGGGCTTTGGAGTGGGCTCTGGAGGTGTATTGATGACACCTTTAGGTACTTTGATCACAGCCCCTGCTTTATGCTCATGCTCAGAGAACAAATCCTGGCTGCCTCTTTAGGGAGTTAACATTGCCCCACTTTCTTGCTTTCTGCTTCATATGTTGGTTCATGGCAGAACTTAGGAATTTTAAGGTTTTTTTTTTCCCTTCTAAGAGTGGTAAACATAACCGTACGCAATCTCTTTTCCAATCTTTACTTAAAAATAGTACAACACAACAATTGACATTTACCACATATGACAACTGACTATATGCTGAATACAGAGCAAGTGACATATATATCTTCTCTCTTTCTCAAGCCTTCTGTCCCCACTCAACATAATCAGCCTCAGTGGCCTTCTTTCTGTTGTTTGATGGTAACAAGTGTGTTTCCATCTCATAACCATTGTATTTGCTAATGCCTTTACCTAAACCACGCTTCCCTCTCCTTCATATAACTGATGCTACTCATCACTTAGGTCTTAGCTCAATGTTACCTTCTCAACAAGACTCATGCAACCAATTTATCTATCACAGCCTTCATAGCATTTACTACTGTTTGAAATTATCTTGTTTGTTTATTGGTTACTTGTTTATTTTCTGTCTCCCCCCATAAGAATGTTCATTGAGAGGAGTAGGGCCCTTTCCTGTCTTGTCTTCTGTCCTATGTTCAGCATGTGGAATAGTTTGTTATACATAGTGTAGTAGCTACTCTACTGGTAGGATAAATGAATGAATTATCTCATCTAATATTTACAAAAAATATATTTTTTCTCACTTAAAAATGTGGAAATGGGAAAACTCAGGAAAGTTAAGTAATTTCCTTGTCATTGCAGAGCCAGTAAATGAAGGAATTTTGTGTCATTGGCTTTATCAGGTCTTCATAAGGCTCAGAATCTGTGTCTTCATTTTCATCCTCATCTTAGTCATGCCTTCATGAGAATCACCTTGGAGTGTGACTGACAGATAGGCTTAACCCTAGGACATTTAGCCATTCATTTATTTATACCCTGACATGCTCTATAGAAATTTAATGGATACCATTCTTGGTTGAATAAGTGGAAGAGTAGAAACATCCCAAGAGTAGATCAGATTAAAAATGTTGTATGAAGCCAGGCACGAGATCAGATTATACAAAATGCCTATGGGAATCTTTGTTGCATTTTCTAGGGGTGAGCTGCAATTTTGGCATTCCATTGTCTGGAAGAGGAAGAATAATTACAACGTTCACAGTATTCACAAGACAAGAACTAACCAGAGATTCAAAAGCAGAATAATGTTGGGACCCCAGAGAAGTATTCTTGGCTTTTCTCAGAAGGAAGAAACTGTGTGATGTGAGGAATAATATCCTCTACAGCATCTATATGGTAAATATCATCAAAATTTTCATGTTTTCCCTTATAATGTTATAGCACATATAAGCCAGAGTGGGTAAAACATAAACTTATAGGGACCCTAAAAATAATGTTATGAGAACCACCAAGAACAATTCTACAAGGACCCCAAAATGATGCTGTTTTGTTGTCTAGCTTGGTGCTGGGATGCCTTAGCCCAAAGGCTATATTTCAAATCATTTTTTGAAGGATCACATTTATATCAGGTCATAAATATTTTCTTTAACCAGGCTGATCAGTACTGATCAGGATTTGATGTGAAAAAGTACACACACACACACACACACACACACACACACACACACACACACAGAGAGAGAGAGAGAGAGAGAGAGAGAAACTTGAGCAACTACCTAGAGTGCAAAGACTCCAATAGTGGTTATATATGTCACCATAAGCTTTGACAGTGAAGCTCAGAATAAGCTAGTATACTTGGCATAGATCATACTTTAGATAGGACACATTTTTTTAAAATCATACTCTCTTCTACCACCTCGTGGCAGACTTGAGGCATTGAGCTGTCCCCTTGGCTTTCCATTTACGAATGGTGGCTTATTCCTGCCATAGTTTACAGAAAGTGAGACATTTAATTGTAACACTTCATTCAATCTCATGTAAGTAATGACTTAATTTTGTCTAAATTTATTGAATCACCTGGATGGCTTAAAGTATTAAATGGCCCTAATAATATTTCCTCACACAAGCAAGTCATTTTCAACAGTAGATTGATTGTACAAGATGGAAAACCTTTGGCTTGTCAAGCATATGTACAGTTGCTGGAAAATAAGTCAAAGAAACACTAATCACTTCATTTAGGAACTAATAACATCAGCCCCAAGGCTACAAGAGCCATTCCAATGGGGCTTCCTCTGTGAGGGGCACGTGATCTCTCTGAACTGGTAGTAGACTAGATTTCATCAGATAAGCTGTCAGATGCTTCATAGAACATGCCTTGGAGAATTAAGCTTCTACTGTTCATACAATTTTATCAGACACTAGCAAAGTAGATTTTCCAGTAAAACAGGAAATTGCCCTAAGGCTACGCTTTTGAACATTTATTCAAGATGTACTTTAAATGCTGTTTCAGCTGTCACTTCTTGCTATCGGCAGAAATGTTTTTGTTTTTGTTGTAGGTGAACAGTTCTCTTTAATCACCAAAATCAACTAAAGTGTGGAGAAAACAAGAGCTGTAAAATTAGAGCGTTTGCAAGACAGGTTGAGGATAGGTAGTTTTTGACACAAAGGCAATTCGAGCTCATTTGGAACTATGTTTGGGACTCTGAATTGGCAACAAAGAAACTTATGTTTCTTTTAATAACTTAATAAATATACTATATTATCACATATAAAGAGGCAGTATATAACACAGCGATTAAAAGCATATACTCTGAAGCCAGGCTACTTGCTTTCAGATGTCAGTTTCAACAATTCAACTTTTGGGCTTTGGACAGATTACTTCACTGCTTTGTTCCTCCATTTCCTTATCTGTAAAACAGGAATAATTACATAACCCATAGGGCTGTTGAGAAGAGTAGTTCTAACACTTAGAAAGCATTATATAATTATATGTACATTATATATTATTGTTATTATAGTACTCTATAAAATCTGTAAGGGATCACATGAAAAATAGACTGTAAACATATTGATTCTATATAGTAAAATATCAGAATTAATAACTTTTGAAAGGAATATCAATATAACACTTTAAGAACTGATATAAAATTTTCAATTTTGTTTAGGAACAGGATGTATATCTCAGAAATATGGAATGAATGAACATATAGCAAATGAAACAGTCAATTTTCAATGAGTGAAATGCAGGACAATGATAACCTTCACATCTTTCACTAAGAAATAACCTCCTAGTAGATGGTACATACATATAAAATATCTTATTATGCAAATATCTTTATCATAACCAATAAATGAAAAAATACAGTTATTTCCCATTTTATTATTTGTGAATCCAAACCAGAGTCTCAGGAAATGACTAGTTGATCTCATGTGGTACTCATGTGGTCTTCTACTTTCTTCTAATCTGAGAATAGAAGAACCATTAATGTCTTTTGCCTCAAGTCATTTTTGAGGAGAATAAGTTCATTTCCTTAGTATAGGAAAAGAAAATGAAGTTGGCTCCTTGACACTTGTCTTAAAAGGCAAACCTAATATTAAATTGTAGTCCAAATCTTTAAGTTTTTTCTTGCTGAAGAAGCAAACTGCCTTAGTGCACTTCATTGACCAGTATGGATAACACAAGCAACACTGACTTCTAAATGCTTGGCTATTGGCATGAAGCAATGAATGTTACAAAGTTATAATAAGAGGAAATGTATAACAGACACACTAAAGAGATACATTGTGTGAAGTGTCATTATCTCAAAGAATGCTTTCCATTTTGTTAATTACACATAACTTCAAGGTAGCCATTAATACAATTAATTGAAGGAGACTATTAATACAATACAATTATAATTAAAAATTTGAATACTTTCTTATTTTACTAAGCTGTTATAGTTATTTTGGTACTTGTTACCAAGCCCTACAAAATTATACATGGAATAAAGAGTGAACCAATTAATAACTGATGTTTATTAAGCTTGAGCTTTGGGTCATTTTAGTCTCAGTGGCCCCATGAAGTTCACACAATGCTCCTTATAAAATGAGAAATCAGGAATTGATTTTCATAATGCTACAATGTATAGGGGAAATTAAATGGACCAAAAATATACAACAGATGGTTAGATGTTTCCCAATCTCATTCCCTCTTCTTGGGCTGGTAGGAAGACTGTTTCCCAGCCCTTGTGGTAGCTAGGCTGGACCGTGTGACTATATTATGGTCACTTGGTGATCACATGTGACACGTCTTCACTCTGGGCCTTTTCATAAACCTCCCTCCATATCCTCCATGTTCTCATTTCCTCTTCTTGTGCTGACTACAGAGACCATTTGTTAAGAATGTAAGAGTCGGCCGGGCGCAGTGGCTCACGCCTGTAATCCCAGCACTTTGGGAGGCCGAGGCAGGCGGATCATGAGGTCAGGAGTTTGAGACCAGCCTGACCAACATGGTAAAACCCTGTCTCTAGTATAAAAAAAAATACAAAAATTAGCTGGCTGTGGTGCTGCACACCTGTAGTCCCAGCTACGTGGGAGGCTGAGGCAGAAGAATCGCTTGAACCCAGGAGGTAGAGGTTGCAGTGAGCCGAGATTGTGCCACTGCACTCCAGCCTGGGAACCAGCCTGGGCGACAGAGTGAGAATCCATGAAAAACAAACAAACAAACAAACAAAAACAATGTAAGAGTCCTGGAGTCATGGCTTTGAGGGGAGCTGCCCAAGAAAGCCTCTGGACTTGCATTGGGTTGTATATTAACTCACCAAGATTTCAAGGTCTGCTTGTGTATACTTGAGCATATCCTAGCTTATCCTGAGCAATGTCTCAGAATAGCTTGATAGATATTCAAAGCAAATATCCTCATAGATGCAGCATACAGGATTGGGCTTTTCCAATCGCTGTGAGAAAATTCCACAAGGAGGTGAGACAATGGTTCTGGTGTGTGCCAAGACTTTTGTTTTTAAGGAAATAGTTTACAAAAAGAACCGAATTATAAACCATCAAGCAGACTAAAATGTAGTATTTATTTTAGAATTATAGAATATTTTATGGGCAGGACCTCAGAAGTTGTCTCGTCAGTGCATACTCCAACCCAGTACATGAATCTCATCCACATTCACCCTCCACTTACTCCTTCCATAATTTGGATTACTACGATAATTTCTACTTATGAAAATTTGGGAGATTTTAAAAAATTTATTCTCTTTCTCTTTGTATTTGCTTGAACAGAAACATGTATCAAATTTTTTTAAAAAACTAAAAAAGGCAATGAATATAACAAGAACCAAGATAAACACATGCCCCATGTAGCTTGGCCTAAGATACAGAAATGGATGTATGTGTGCAAGTGCATTCTGGGGGTGGGGTGAGGTTTCTGGAGAAATTAAGCACTATATGGAGACTTGACAGATGAGAAGGAGTTTCAGTTGCCTGGATAGAAGATGAAACCAGCCACAACATTTCCAGGGGTTAATGCACCTGGTGACTTTTAAGTTGAAGACAATCGATACTCATTTACCATTTAAAAAATCATGGGGCCCTTAGGAATTATGCTTAATCTACTCTGCCTGTACTTTTATAAATGGAGCAACAAAGCCTGGATGACAACACATCTGTTTATAGCATGGATTACTGAATATCGTAAACCCACTGTTGAGATTTACTGCTCAAAAAAAAGATGCCTTTTAAAATATTACTGCTCACTGACAATGCTCACTGATTAGGCTCTTGGTCACCCAATAGCTCTGATGGAGATTTACAAGGATATTAATATTGTTTTCATCCCTGCTAACACAACATTCATATTGCAGTCCATGGGTCAAAGGATTATGATATGGTAAGAAATACTATAACCTTATGAAATATAAGAAATACATTTCTTATATGTATGAATTACATATATATATACACATACATATATATATGAAACACATTTCTTATATGCCATAGACAGTGATTCCCTTGATAAGTCTGGGAAAGGAAAATTGAAAACCTTCTGGAAAGGATTCACCATTCTAGATGTCACTAAGAAAATTCATGATTCATTGGAGGAGCTCAAAATATCAACATTAAAAGGAATTTGGAAGAGGTTTATTTCAACCCTCCTGGATGACTTTGAGGGGTTTGAGACTTCAGTGGAGGAAGTACCTGCAGATATTGTAGAAATAGCAAGAGAACTAGAATTAGAAGTGGAGCCTGAAGATGTGACTGAATTCCTGCAATCTCATGATAAAACTAATGGATGAGGAGTGGCTTCTTATGGGTGAAGAAAGAATGTAGTTTCTTGAGAAGAAATCTACTCCTGGTGAAGATGCTGTGAACATTGCTGAAATCACAACAAAGGATTAGAAGATTACATAAGCTTAGTTGATAAAGCAGCAGCAGGGTTTGAGAGAACTGACTCCGATTTTGAAGGAATTCCTACTGTGGGTAAATGCTATCCACCAACATCTCATGCTACAGAGAAATCTTTCATGAAAGGAAGAGGCATTGTGTGTTATTCATTGTTGTGTTATCTTAAGAAATTGCCACAGCCACCCCAACCTTCAGCAACCACCACCCTGATCAATCAGCAGCCATCAGCATTGAGACAAGACCCTCCAGCAGCAAAAAGATTATGAGTCACTGAAGGCCTGGATGACCGTTGGCAATTTTTAGCAATAAAGTATTTTAAAATGAAGGTATGTACATTGTGTTTCAGATATAATACTATTGCACAATTAATAGACTACAGTATAGTGTAAACATAACTTTCATATGTACCAGGAAGCCAAAATATTCATGTGACTCACTTTATTGCAATACTTGCCTTATTGCCGTGATCTAGAGCAAAACCCACCGTATCTCTGAGGTAAGCCTGTATACGGATATGTACACGTACATACACATCTACATAGGCAACAAGATGCTGAAAAAGGCAAGTGAAACTGATTTTGATTTCTAGCCTCCAGAACTGCAAGACAAAAAAGGTTTTGCTGTTTTAAGCCACCAAGTTCATGTGTATTAATTTGTTACAGCAGCCATGGGAAACTACTGAAGAGTTGAATCTTGTGGAAGTGGTGTGGTTCTGGGTTAGGAAATGCCATTCAGGTTTGGAATTGAGCATAGAAGTTCAGCTGAATTTCATTGAAATCAGAGGTTGGGGCTCTGAGGCAAAGGTACAAACGGATTGTCCACTTGTTTGTTCAGGTTCCCTGGGACAACACAAAAGCAGGAGTACAGAGATGTATTTTGGGACTGGGCACCAAAGTCTTGAATTCAATGTGGAATTAGTGTCAGAAGGTTCAGTGGAAGACAAGGGATGTGGAGTAAAAGAGGCTGGAACCAAGTTTCATTAATGTCAAAGAAGAGGGATAGTTACGTGAGGTGGAAGAAATACCTTCTACTGCGTGGGGAGTGGAGATGCCTCTTGGACATACAGATAGTGCAGAATGGGGCACCAGGAGAAAAATCAGTCTCATGGTCGGGCTGCAGGAAAAGTGAATTTGCAGGCAGTAAGCCAGATTTCAGTTCAAAGAAGAAGGTGGAGAGTGGATGTCTTACCTGATGTACAATTCAGTTCATTTGCTTATTAGTTTTCTCAGAGATAGATGTTTTCAGAGTTAGATTTTATATTTCTCCTCAAATCACCTACTTGATATCTCCACTTTAAAACACCTTTATTATGTCTTTTTCTGTCAAGGGTGATCATTTAAAATATCCTTTAAAAACAGTGTTAAATGGAGTAGAAACTTAAGGCAGAAGAAGCTGTTGCATAACCATATTGCCAAGAATATATAATGCCATTTCCTTTTTTTCCCATCTTCTTATTTGTATAAATGTAAGGGGTATAAGTTTAGCTCTGTTACATGGATACATTGCATAGCAGTGAAGTCTGGGCTTTTAGTGCAACTGTCATACAAAAAATATACATTGTACCCATTAAGTACTGTCTAATTTCTTACTCCCCTCCCATCCTCCCACTCTTCCAAGTATCCAATGTCTATTATTCCACACTCCATGTCCATGTGTACACATCATTTAGCTCTCACTTGTAAATGAGAATCTGCAGTATGATGTCACGTTCTCACTCGTTTAATAGGGCCATAGGAACAAGTTGGGGATTATTTTGCATGAACAGCTGGCTATTGCTAGACATGAACAAAGTAATTGGAAGTGATTTCTCTTTAAGCAATGCACCACTGGACCTGTATACTTTATATGAAAATGTTGACTTTCATTCAACTACTAAACTTTTTATAGACATTACAAACATATCTGTTGACAAAACTCAGTCTTTGATATGCAAAGAATATGACTTTGTTATGAAGCTTATAAAAGCTCATTCCTCAGAGTTTATCTAAATGACTTTCATCTTCAGTGGTCTGTGGAATATTACCCAGTCTTCACACTGCACCTGTCTGGTAAGAAGACAACATATTATCTCCATTTTAGAGAATGAAAAAGAAGAATGGGGTGAGTCTAAGTGATTTACCTACATTAATTACATCTTGAAAAGAGATCATAGCCCTCATTTTTGATTTGTAACCTTGAGAATGTGTTTTGATGTAAAGCTTTCTGACGATTTTCAATTCAAAATCAATAACATTTCACACTGTATATAAAATATGGTAAGTCGATTCTGCTACACTTTGAAAATGTGAATTGGCTTCAACACGATTAATATATAAAGAAAGAATTTGAACATGATATGAAGTTCATGTTCATAAATGTACAATTTCATCCTCAGAAGCACTAGGTAAACACAGAAAACTACAGCCCTTGCAGCTGGCCCTTACATCAAAGGAATACACAAAGCCCACCCTGTGCACCTCAAATGTCTCCCGGTTAACTAAAGTCTTTGGGTGTATTATGATCCACTGCCCTCACTCCCCTTCACATCTACTGTTAACAACATTTTTGTTTTTCTGATTTTGGAAAATCCTCTTTCAACACTTTACAATGACTCACAAGCTACAACCCTTCCAGACACCCACTTCTGCAAGCAAACTTCGGATTTTGTTCAAGTAAAGTGCAATAGTTACTGCAGTATTTGTGTATTTCTTAACCACTTAATGTGTGCTACTCTTTTTTCCAGGTTCTTGTCTTGTTTTTATGTGTCACTGACATGCATGGCACCTAATCCCATATTTTCTCAGATGCCCTGTGGTTTATATTACAAGATATTGCATAGGGCAGTGATTTTTAGGAATGTGTATATCGCATTATATATAGATCATCACACTCTTAAACTCCACAAACAATGATCTAGCACTTGTTATGTTTCAGACACTATTTTGTACATGGTGGGGGATACAAAGATGAACAGTTCTGGTCCCTGCCTTCTAGCATCATAGTTTGTCAGAGATTGTCACACACACAAATGTCTCTAATGATAAGTTATTATGTGCTCATAAATGAAGAGTCACAATGGTAAGGTGGAGGGAGAGAATAATTCTACCCCAGAGGATCTAGGAGAGTTTCCTGGAAGACATAGGGTTTGACCAGCACACTGAGGAATGAGAGGTGCCTTTAGTAGGTATGAGGGAATGAGATAGAAAGAAGGGTTTTCTGATGCATCTTAAATGGCCCTTTATTGTAGTTATTTTTTTTTTCTGTTTCTCTCCCTCTTCCCACCCTCTGACAGGCCCCAGTGTGTGTTGTTCCCCTCTATATGTCCATGTGTTCTCATCATTAAGTGGCACTTTAAAGATGCTTGCATTAATTGACAATTCTGAGTCCATAATGGTAGAACTTTTGAGAAGCAAACTGACTGCCAAGGAAAAATCTCCATGCACTACAAACAGTTTTGGCTTTTTTTGAAGAGATTGACAATCAGTTAGGAGTCTGAATCAGGTAAACCTAATTTTTGGTATTCATCCATTTTTCCTGAGAACAACACTTTTCTCATTCTTGCTGTCACTCTTCTCTAATCTCTAAGTAATTTTCCTTTTCAGTGGTTTGTTTCTGCCTGAACATTATTTGATAACATAGCTGTCACCTAAAAAGAATGTGGTCTCTTCCAGAGAGGCTTAAAACTGCAGAGGCATTTTTAGGGAGGAGTCTGGAAGGATGCAGGAGAATAGGAAAACACATTCATTGAGCACCTACCATATGCCAGGCACTGTGAAAGTCAGTTTCATATATGTGATGTATTTGATGTCATAATAACCCCATGCATTTATGTAATTAATCACACCCATTGCAGAAGGGATGGAGACACTTGCTGAGCCTATAGTAGTAGTTCTTAACTTTGACTGTTCCATCAGAATCAAACGGTGGGAAGAGCTTTTAAAAATCCCTTTACCTAGACCATACTCAGCACAGTGGAATTAGAAACCAGGGTGCTGTGACCCAAGCTTTGATATTTTTTCCCCATAATCCTCAGGTGGTGCCAAAGTTCAGCCCAAGTTGAGAACTACTGACCAAGAAAGTCTCTTATCCCTGCTGTAGTGACCTCACACAGGGAAGTTTGAGAGCAAACTCCTTAGTTTGATTTAAATGGCAACTTTGTGTAGATGCTACCATTCACATGATAATAGAAGAGAAAAAGAACTCACAACATTTTTTTAAAAAAACTATTTTAAATTAGAAATTTGCTTATGTAGAATCTATGGGATTTGGGAGCTGGTTGGTTTTAGGAGGCAATTGTTCAGTTCTGCTTATCTAGGCTGGAGCAAACTTGGAAGGAGAAATCAGATATATGAGGGAAGTTTCTGGGTCAGTCCAGACAGGGTATTTATTACCATGGAGATGCCGAAAACCAAGAGTAGTGCAGATGGCAGGTGTAAATGATGCCCTCAGTTGAATCAAGGTGTCTTGAAGCCGGGTCTTGAATTAACAGATATAACACAGTCCTTGGGATCCAGAAGTGAGAAAGGAAATTTTAAAATGAGAAGGGCCAAAATGCTTCAAGACAATGGGGTGAGCTAAGCACAGTGACTGGTGGTCACTCTTGGCAGGTGCCATGTTGGGGGAGGTTGGCTCTTACAGGCATCAGTCTCCAGATGTCAGTACACAGGGAGGAATAAAAAATAATGACATGACAATAAATTCCTTAGGTGATAGTTTTATAATGTCCATTATTACAAATAAGGAAGACAGAAAGAAGAATAGACTCTTGGTTGTTGGGGAGTGTGTATGTGTCAGTTGAGGGGAAGGCTCAGGGTGAGGATGATACGGGAGAGTCTAGGCAGAAAGGGAAATGGTAAGTTTGCTTTTGGTACATATTTAGTTTGAAATGCTGGTAGTTTATTCCATGGAGGTGTCTGGAAGCTGGGGAAAGATATAAAGTTGTTCTGAGTTTCAGTAGGTCACTGAAATATGCTGTCAGATACACCTTCATCCAGGTCCTTGGTTGATCAGTGTTTCCCAAAACTCTGGGCTCCCGATTCAGCCTCCAGTGGACTATATTTGTTGGCTGTTTCTGATTCTGTAAGTCCTGATTAAAATCTCCAAGTACTCCCTGCATGTGTAGGCCAGAATTATTTGGAATGGCTTCATCAGTTTTCTAGAGAAAACTATACGAGTATATAGTTCTTTCAAGAATTCACTCAGAAGTGTCTAGCAGTTTGGAGAAAGCAGCCTGGAAGGCCATGCAGTTTTTGCCTTCTCTTGGTTTTCCTGCTCTTCAGTGGTCATGCTAGTTCTTCTGTGTTTGTTTTTCTCCCAATCTATTCTTTTACTGCTTTTTACCCAGGAGGCTGATCCCTGAAAACTGCTCCCTTTCTAGATTCTGATTGGGTTCAGCCAATGAGAAACCCTGGCAGGAGATCAAAGGACAGAAGGAGAGATAATCAGGGTATTTCATCTCCACCTCCTCCCCTCTTTGGTACCGCATCTTTGGCAGTTGCTGAAATACAGCCCTTGCCTGTCAGAACCTTCTTCGTGGCTCCAGTTTTCATTGTATCTTGATAACACTATTTCCTCCCTTTTCTTCTTTAACCAAATACATAGTAATGACTTCCTTCTGTGGCTTATCAGTGCCTCAACATACTTTGTTGGTTCCTTTAACCTTTCCCCGAGCTCTGTAATTATTCCCTTTATTATAGTCTCTTCATTTGAATAATTTTGGAGGAGGTGTGGTGACTTCTATTTCTTCTTGAGATCCTGATTTATGAGTCCTGAAGAGGGACACAGGTCCCAGTACATCCTTAGCTCCAAGTGAGATCTTATAGCCTAGAGGAGACCAGGATTTCAAAGCAAGGCCACCCCCTGCCACTAGGGGTTCCACAATTTGATAATTTAGGTCATTTAGCGTACCAGGATCTCCTATTATATTTCCTACTTGTAGACTAAAAGGATCCCTAAATATTCTTTGTGTTCCAAGATGAATGTTAATTATACCACTCATGATTATAACAAGATGAGGTTTAGTAGATAAAGCAGCCACTCTACAGATATCAGAAAGGATAGTTAAGGATCTGAAAGATCTTTTCAGTGACATACTGTTTAGTGACTTGAACAGGAACAAATTATTAATATATTTTACTTTTAATGATGTGCTAACACTTTGTTTGAACTAAAGTTTCAGGTTTTCAACTAAGCATAGGCGTACCCAACATTTTTTTCCATAATAGTTATTGGAAACAAGGTTTTCATCTTATTTGATGTGATAAAATGATACTCTTCCACCCTCACATAATTATAGGCAGGAGCCTCATTGATGAATGTGCTATTTCCTTCATTTGCAGGTAGGTACTTACATTGGGCTTATCTAACTCAATGAGTAATCATAATTACATAATTACAATGAGAATCATAATTATTGCACACATAAGAACTGGGACTTTATTTTCCTGCTATTAAAATGTATTGTTTCATATTTAGAGTTGTGAGGAGGACTTTTAAAAGTATTAAAGAAATATATAAAAATGACTAAAATAAGTAGGAGAACTTTCTGGGGTCCTTAAAAATAGGATAGTGTTAAATAAAAATAAAAGATTGAAGGATCAATTAATAAGTACTTTATGGTGTGATGGGTACTGCTTATTCATCCCCACTGGGGAAATAACATAAGGTTAAAAACCCTTGTTCTTTCAGCTCCTCTCTGATCCCTTGGCTGGAATTTCTCATATCTGAGGTGTCTTTTTTACCTTTGTCTCAACAATTCTTCTGGGCCAGGCTTAACTACATGGTGTGACAGAACTCATCTTGAAGGATAAACATGACAGATTATTCAACTAAGACTCAATAGTGGCTGAGCGAAGAAGCTACATCCAGCAACCTGGCCACAGGGTAGGCGCTGGAATACCTCATTAGAGCCAGAGGGTTCAGTGCTGAGGGTAGCAAGTTCTTTTTACAATTAGTTATGCCTAATGTCCTATGTTTGCTCTGTCTCTGTCATTCCGTAGTAAATTTCTGGAGGCCAGGAATTGTGTATTCATTTCAATTCCCCACAGCATCTCATAGGGAGCTTGGCACCTGTATTATTCATCATTGACTTATAGCCAAGTCAAGGTTAACCTATAAGCACTAATGCTGACAGAAATGAATGAAATCCTTTCTTTTTTTGAGCATATCTCATTTTCCATTTCATGTGATTGAGGAAGAGAGTATTTGCTTTGAGATGAGGTTTAAATTAGATTATTCAATAAGATTCCTTCTGGTTCTAGGATTCCAGAATTAAGTGCCAATTAATGAAGCCTCAGAATGCTGATTGCCAAAAGAATTGATTACTTTGACTTAAGGTATATGCTAAGGAGTAGACCTTATGTTGGATACTGCCTCATGGTATGAACAGGCATTCTTTTCTCAGATGTCTCCTGAGTCATTTACATGTGTTTTGGGTGAGATTGGTCTTTTTAATGGGCACAAGAGGCAAAAAGTAAAGTCTTCCTTCCCAGTATTCATGTAATTGTTACCGATCTTCAGGGCTCATAGCAATAAGCAGGCTGTGGAGTTGATGAGGAGGCTGGTTGAAAAGCCCTATTAGAGGTGAACAGGGTCCTCTCCCTCGTACTCATTTGCACCGCTGGTAGAGTTAATGTTTTGAGTCTGAAGGACACTATGACTGTTATCAGTTTTATTGGACAAGTGAATATAAAGGTAATTAAAGAGACCATGCCTAATAACCCAACTCTTACAATTTAAAAGTAAGAAAGAGGCCTGATAGGGTACCAGGGATATACCTATCATCCTAATTAAGTGCTAACAAGACAGTTGTCCTCACTTTGGTAACTTCAGTATATTCCCTGTGTTAACTATCTCCAACCAGTGGACTCATCTACAATTCTTAATTCTGCTCCATGGTTACCCTTCTTCATTCTCCACACGAGCAATGTTTCTATAGGCTTCAGTGTTTAGCAGGTGGTGTCCCAAATGCACTCACCCCAAATTGCCCATCCAGTTTATTCATTCATCCACCTTTTCACACCTTCCCCCTGCAGTTCAGATTTGGCCAAATTGCCACACAGTTTGCACTTACCATCTCCTCCAGCATTTCTACTTTATTAAGCAAGCACATCTCATAAATGAAAACAAGAGGAGACGTGTGGCAAGCCCATTCTCTTATTTCACTAAAAATTTTAAAAATCACCTACCCAACACGTAGTGCTTCAGGAATGTGAGTAGAGATAAATCCAATGAATCAGTAGAGATAAATCCAATATTTAAATGAACATGCATAATCGAGTGGCAATTTTCTAAATAAGAGAAGCCTCTGGCTCTAGCTGTATTTAAAGACACCTCAATATTTTGATTAAATATGCCAAAAGGCAGAAAATGTTTTTAGAAATGTATAACAATGGTTTATGATGTACAAGGCAAAGAAAAACTCTTGTATAATTACCTAAAACCTCCCAATTTTATTTGAGAATTTGTTTAGCATCTCTTTTTAGCCTTGTTAACTGTAAGTTTGAGTTCTGAGAATGAATGGCATTGACATTTTCTGTGAGGTGGATGAAGAAAGTGAAATCCGGAGAGCCTGATTGATCCATCAATATTTGCTGAATGTTAATTCTAAGAAAAAATGGACTAGCCATTTCTGTATATAGCCAACAGGCCCAGGTATAGTTACATTAACATGACACTAACCTAAATAGAGAATTTGTTGGTGACGTTATGACACTTTACTCCTGATCATAATTTACAAATAATAATTTTCTTTAGGCATAATAAACTTTTACTGTGCACAGCAATGTAAAAGGAGACTATTTGAAACACAGGAAATGATTATTCTCTATTCAAATACATCTCACTGAAACTACTGTATCTTTTCTTTGTTCACACATTTTTCCCTTGACATTATTTTTTAATTTCTTCCTTATAAGACCTTCTACCAAAGTAGTTTGTTTCTGTAATTTTCTAACTTTCAGTATGTATATAAAGAATTACATTTTTAAATCTTTTATAATATTTTACTTGGAATTTTAAGATATAACTTCTGGTCAAGTCCAATATATTTCTTCAAAATTAAGTCTTTATCAAAGAAGAGAGGTATTTGATTCTGTGTGATAATTGCTTATGGATATGAAATAATCAGTCAAGATCAGCTTGGCTGGGCACAGTGGCTCGTGCTTGTAATCCCAGCACTTTGGGAGGCTGAGGCTAGTGGATCACCTGAGGTCAGGAGTTTGAGACCAGCCTGGCCAACATGGTGAAACCCTGTATCCACTAAAAATACAAAAATTAGCTGAGTGTGATGGCACATGCCTGTAATCTCAGCTACTCGGCAGGTTGAGGCAGGAGAATCTCTGGAACCCGGGAGGCGGAGGTTGCAGTGAGCCGAGATCACACCATTGCACTCCACTCCAGCCTGGGCAACAAGAGGGAGACTCTGTATAAAAAAGAAAAAGATCAACTAGATACTTGATGAATGGCAGGGTTAGAATCATAGAAGCTAGCTGGCCCTGAATTGTTGATCAGTTAAAAATGATCATGGGGTTTTTAGAATAAAGAAATGACATCATAGAAGTAGTCTTTTTATACAGTGTGTTAGGTAGTGTAGAGAAAATACTTTTTTTAATACACAGAATTAATTCAGCATGCAGAAAAGGCAAACCAATGGCATTTCCCTAATATAGTTGGAATAGGCAATTCAGGATTCTCATTAGAGCTATCAGTGACTGAAAATAGGCAGCAAAATTGGCAAAATCCATTTGTGTGTGTTGAAAACACTCAGTAAAATAGGAATGGATCTCTATTTCTTTAAAATGATAAAACATACACTTTAGACCAAAAGCCAGCATCTTACTTAATGGGGAAACATTAGAGGCTTTCCCATTAAAGTTGGGAATAGAATAAGATTTAAGATTGCCCATTATTTTCACTATTATTTCACATTGTGTTGATAGTATCAGCCAAGAAAATTAGAAAAATGAAAGTAATTAGAAGTGAAAGAAAGAGACAAAACCACTTATATTTGTTGGTGACATGGCATGGAGGAAAAACTACTACAGAAGATATTAGCAATCATAAATAAAAACAAAATCCATGTTCAACATTCTCAAGAGCCAATTGAATAGACTCTCATTGGCCAAAAATGGGACAGTTTAAATATCAGTAAGAATAATGAGCATAACTGACTGAAACACATGAAATGTGCTTAAATCCATGAGTTCACAATAATGCTAAAATTTAATATTCCTAATTGGTCACCATTTACATTTAAAATTTAAGTTCCTAATTGGTCACCATCTAGTATTAAAGGGTACTAGAGAACCAATTAATTACTGGCAAACTGGCAAATAAAGGGAAATAATCAGGCATTTATTCTGCCTTTCTCATGTGAATTGTAACCAAATAGTATGTAAGAGGAAGTTTCTCTTTATGGAAGAATTCCAACTAATACATAAAAAAGGAATGATAATTAGAAGATCCTTATTTTGTAAGCACTAAGGAACTAACAGATCTAGGCATTGGTCATCAGTAGCTGCTAACAAAACAAAAATAAGACAATCAGAAATTATGAACCTCCTGGTGGAAGAATACAATAGCATCCATGAAGCAGTTTTGCCATTAAAAATTTTTAGCATGAAACTACTTAATCTTTAAAGCATCTACTTATTTGTAATTATTGAAGAAGATAGAGAGGCATTTAAACTACACCATGGGGATGCATTCAGTAAAATCCAAACTTTGAGAAACTCTATGTGGTAAACATTGTTTTTCAACTTAAGTTGCAAAGAAATAAAAATGGACAAAGAATGACCCTGTGGATTAGATGAGATACATGATACATATGAACCAATCACGATGGATGAACTAGATTTGGATCCTGTTTAAAAAAGAAAATACCTCTGTGGTGACTCCTGCAAGATCTCACTGTTCCCACCACTGAGGAAAGTTGACAATGGTACCTGGTCCTAGTATTAGAGTTCAGACCTCACCTTCCTTGCTACCGCCTGTCCAGGAACAGCCTCTGTACATTGCAGTGTCTGCACCCTCACGGTGCTCTTTCCTGAGTCTCCATCTTGAGAGCGTTGGCAAAGCCCAAGTCACATTCCTCGACCTCAGCTATAGGAAGGCCAGGAAAGTGAATATCTGACTGCTCCCACGGGGAGAAAGTCCTCCTAGTGTGGGAAGTTCCCCAACAAAGGAAGGTATTCAAAACACTGGATAACCACAAAGTGTCACAAATGTCTATTCCAGAAGTTTTTATTTTAAGAAAAGTTAATTAGAAATGTATGATCACTAACAACACCATGGCTTCTAGACTGATGTTAGTTTGATGAAAGCTGGATTTCTGTCAGTCATACAGACGTGTGGTGAAATTCAGCCATAATTGAAATAGAGTGGGATTAGTGAATGAAATACAAATCCTACTTTATGTGCTATTTCTTTAAATCTTTATGCATATTGAAGTATTTTAAAACATGGTAAATAGATGTTATGACTTTCTACTTAAATGTTTCAATAAAGTAATTTTAAATATTTTAAAGCATATATTAAATTAATTTTTATTTTAGTCAAAATAAAACACACTAATTGTATTATTACTAAAAGACAGTGCAAAAGAGCTTTATGCTCCCCACCTACTGCTGTGCTCACCTTTTAGCAATGTATTCTGCTATTTGTGTCCATTTTCAAAATAGTGTGCATATACTGATTTGATTCTTCTGTTTTATTTTATTTTTTACTTACTTTTTATTTTTGTTAGAGACAAAGTCTCATTCCACCACCCAGACAGGAGTGCAGTGGTGCGATCGCAGTTCACTTAACCTCAACCTCCTGGCCTCAGATAAGCCACCCAAGTAGCTGACACTGTAGGTTTGTACCACAATATTCAGCTAATCTGTTTTGCTGTTGTTGTTTGTAGAGACAGAGTCTCCCTATGTTGTCCAGGCTAGTTTTGAACTCCTGACCTCAAATGATCCTCCTGCCTTGACCTCCCAAAGTCTTGGGATATAGGCATGAGCCATAACGCCCAGCCCACTATTTAATTTTAGATTTAATTGGTCAACTGACTTCAATTATGATGAGTTAGGATTTTAATCTCCCAGTTTCTTTTTCCTAATCCTCCTTTAATTCTCAAAATATAGTTATATTACAATCTTAGGTTAACTTTTTACCTAGTAGTTTTTTTAAATGTGATCATGTTCATTTTTAAGCCATGTAATATATATAAATTATATTTCCTTCATTTTATGTCTTTTCAACTATTGCTGTAGCCTGTTTGCTTTTTAAATTTTTCTTAATCTTTTAATCTAAGCCTAAGTCTTCTGTACTCCGATAACTCTGTGCAATGCCTCTCAATTCAATTTTGCACATAGTCAAAACTATCAAAGAGTCGCTTTGCTTCTCTTCTGAATAAATTCTTCCTGAAGATTCTGAAGCAATCTGGACTGGTTGCTTTCCAGGCCTGCTGCCAAGTGCTCATAATTGTTAATACTGAATATATCAAAAAGGAACCGAGAGACTTTCATATGCCAAGTTTTATATGAAGTATTCGACACACATAACTTCACTGAGTCCTTACACGTTTCATTCATTCAATAAATATTTATTAGCATTTACTAAGTGCCATATGCTGAGTTAGTGGATGGGCATATACTATTGTATAAACCGATGTGGTTCATGGCCACATGGAACTTACAGTCTCAGAGAAAAAGCAGGTGGAAATCATACCCTGAGATAAGCGGAGGGTGCAATGAGCACATATAAAGTTTGGGAAAATCTCTGAGAAACTGACACTTGAGTTGGCACCTGACGGATTTGTTGAAATCATTTAGGCACAGTGGCTGATGAGAAGAAGGGAAGTGGGAGAGGATATTCCAGCGAGAGAATGATGGCGCATGTTCAGGTCCTCTGGCTGGGTAGAGTTCCACATTTGCAGCCCTGGAGATTTTAGGTACAGAAGCATATGATGTGCCTGGAGTGAAGGGGAGATCAGTCAGGGGCCCAGGTGCTATGCTGCAGATTTCATTTAATATCTACTTCTGGCTCCTGCAATTTGACAATCTCTTTAGGTTTATTATACATTGGTTTCCTCATTTTGGCTTTATTTTCCTACTTTTTTAGGCATCGGAAGCTCTCAGAAGAATAACTACTTGCTCTCATCTTGATCCATAGGAATTGACCAGCTGACCAGCTGGCTAAGTACCCAAATGTGTGTGGTGAGGGTGAGACTTAAAAACAGAGCTCAACATCTGAAATCTAGAAAAATTTGGTGCCAGTGTTCTTCATACGAAGTTAGTGATGCGCTGCCAGTATTGCAACAGCATCCTCCTGGGACACATTTCTAAGTAGGTGCTCTTTATTTATTATGGACAACTCTCTGATGAGGGACTAGGGGAAGGTGGCAGAAGCAGAAGAGATATGGTGTTAAGCTATGAATCACGGCATCTTTCCCAAAGAAAGAATTCAGTGCAGACACATGGCCTGGGACAATGGCATATTCACACTCAGAAAACTTGGTTAACAAATTGTCAGAAAAAAAAATCAAGCAGATCTAAAAATCAAGCAGATCTATTGATGCTACAGAAAAAAAGGATTAGAAGAACTTGAATTGTTCAAATTCAAAACAAAACAAACCTGAATACCAAAAACAATTTGTTGGTCAAGAAGTACCTGAATCATAGTGCTATTTCAGAAGGTGTAGATCCTTTGAGAATCTTTTCACTCTTTGTTTGTAAGGCAATCTTTTACTGCTCCACTTATGGAGAGAAAGCATTTGGAGAAAAATGCTAGCTTGATAAATGTTTGAACTATTGTAGTATTGGATACATGCCCAAATGTCATTTATCACATTGAAATTAAGCTCTTCTTTGCATAGGTAATTGTGATGCCTATAGTTGATAGCTGTTTGCAGGAGTGATCCAGTCTGAATGATGTATTTTCCCTCACATTCTTCCCAGTGATGGACAGTCTGTATCTGCCTCCTGCCAGCTGCATTGCAAACATAATATGCTCTTTGCAGTTTCAATCAAAATGTATGTTGTTTTAAACTGGATGATGTTTGGTAAAGTTCTTTAGCTTAAGGAAAAATATTTTGTGCTCTGTCACACTTAATAATAACTCCCACATGCTTGAGTCATGTCGATCACATTCAGGGATTTTCAGAAGAGTTTGTTTTTCTGTGACCGTAGTCAGTAACAAGATGCAGGCAGAAAACAAGACTCTTAACTTGAATTCTGCTGTTGGAAGGCAAAATAAGACTCTAATGGTGGAGGAAGAATATTCTACCTGAATTTACATCATGTTGTAGCCTGGCTCCTTGCATTTTGGTTTTATTTTGCTGTCTCCATGCCTTTTTTTGTTTTGTTTTGTTTTTCTGAGACAGAGTCTTGCTCTGTCACCCAGGCCAGAGTGCAGTGGCACGATCTCAGCTCACTGCAAGCTCTGCCTCCAGGGTTCATGCCATTCTCCCGTCTCAGCCTCCTGACTAGCTGGGACTACAGGCGCCAGCCACCATGCCCAGCTAATTTTGTTTTTGTATTTTTAGTAGAGACGGGGTTTCACCATGTTAGCCAGGATGGTCTCGATCTCCTGACCTCGTGATCCACCTGCCTCAGCCTCCCAAAGTGCTGAGATTACAGGTGTGAGCCACCACGACCAGCCTGCTGTCTCCATGCCTCTTATGGATGTGTCTGTATTGACTATCTCAGAGGATGACTGCTAGAAGGCAGGGACCTGGTTTATGTCATTCTTTGTACACAGACCCAAGAACAATGAAGAACTTGCTAAAGCTATTGGATGTGATGCCCAGAATTTATAATCTGAAGCTGTCATTTGAGATTGTTATGGCTGCTGGAGCTGATAATGTATGGGTAGTTTATTGATTGGAATACTGGAGCTTAAGTCTAGCCCCTGGACCATAAACCAAAATTTGCCTGATTTCAGAGATAATTTTTGATGGACTTACCCTAACCTATCTCAGATGACACTCACATATAAGTCAGAATATAAACTTAATAATGAAAATATACATATTTACCTCTTTCTTTCTTCAATCTCTACCTTCCTTCCCTCCTGCCTTCCTGCCCTTCCTTCCTTCCTTCCTTCCTCCCCCCCTTCTTCCCTCCCCTCCCTCCCTTCTTCCCTCCCTCCCCCCCTTCTTCCCTCCCCTCCCTCCCTTCTTCCCTCCTTCCCTTTCTTCCTTTCTTCCTTCCCTCTTTCCTTAAGTGGTTTAGTAAATTCCTCCTCTTTGCTTGAACTTTTATATAGTTTCTCCTATTTGTGAATGCTCCCATGTTAATGATGAAGAAATTAAAATTCCAAAATGTTCAATAACCCATTCATGTTCACAAAGCTCATATATAGCAGAACACCAATAAGAATTGAGATCCGTATAGCTTCAAAGCTACTACTGTTTTATTTATTTTATTTTTACTACATTGAAATATATAGTCTTCTGGTCTACTAATTGCCTTTTTTTAATAGGAAATTCTTCATGGAAAACTGTACTGTAACTGGAAGTATTTGAAAATCAAAGTAAGAGATGAGCTGAATGATATAACACAGGACTGCTGTAATTGACCAGTTTAGCCGGATTATTTTATTTTATCTAGGGATATAGCAACCAAAGGAATCCTGTGTTTAATTTTATAAGTCAGAGTACCCTTTCAGATGTGCAGTATTTGAGATATTAGAATAATTTTTTTCTCTTTGGGCTCTCCCTTTTTCTAAACCTGTTGTCCTTCAGATAGGACACAGTATTACTAACCAGATGAGAAAAGACATTGTTGACATGCCGAAAATGGCAGATCAAAGGAGCCAAGGAGCCTGGGTCCTTAAAAGCATAATGGAGCCACTGACCTTATTTACTTTTTTTTTTTTTTTTTTTTTTTGAGATGGAGTCTTGCTCTGCTGCCGAGGCTAGAGTGCAGTGGCACGATCTCTACTCACTGCAACCTCTGCCTCCCCGGGTTCACACAATTCTCCTGCCTCAGCCTCCCAAGTAGCTGGGATTACAGGCACCCACCAGCATGCCTGGCTAATTTCTGTATTTTTAATAGAGATGGGGTTTCACCATGTTAGCCAGGCCGGTTTCAAACTCCTGACCTCAAGTGATCCACCAGCCTCGGCCTCCCAAAGTGCTGGCATTACAGGTGTGAGCCACTGCACCAGGCCCACTGACCTTATATTGATACTGCCTATCTCCAAACTACTTAATTAAAAAAAAAAGCTCAAATATATATATTTATGGTTTACATCACTATTAGTCAAATTGTTTTGTGACTAGCAACTGAAAGCATTAATGATACATTGAACTTGTTGGAGTACAGCAGGCTCTGCCTAAGTTGATACAAATACTGGAAAAGTACTATTAAATATGAGTACTGGAAAATCACATTTGTGATGATTTTGGATTGTTTATCTCTTTGCTTGGCCCACCCGTAAAATCAAGTTTCAGGCTAAAGGAGAAAAGTCTCAGTACTTTTTCCAGTATCAAAAAATGCTTTTAGATTAGCAGTGTCCTTACCCTTGAAGAATCTGCTGTTTCATGAAGAGGTGATCTTCCCATGTCTGAGAGGAGGCTGAATGTCATGGATGCTGTGAAAGGATGGCTGTGCTGGCTGGGACGTTGGATAAGGTGACCTCTTCTAAGTTTTAATGCCTGTGATTTTCTAAGTGTCGCTGCCTTTAAATGGAAGTGGCCTCTTCATCACAGAGTCTTCATTGAGAAGAATTTGAGCAAAGGACCCGTATCCATGGTTTGGTTCTGCCTCGACCTAGCATTGTGATTTTGAGAAATTAGCTTCCCCAAGTTTCTAGTTTTATTTTCTCTAACAATGAGATAATTTTCAATTAAAACAATTAGTTGGACACTCCCTCCTCCATCTCCTTCTTTCCCTTTTTCTTCATTTTAATGGCTTATTACGTGGAGCCCCATATTTAGACCCATAGGAGAAGAGACGGTCTGGTCTTCCAGAGACGAGGTTGAAGTTCTGCTTTTCTGGCTTCCTTCTCATTTTAACCCTCTCCTCCCTGTGGAGCTGAGGAATGTGTAGAACATAGTTTGACAAACTCTGTCTTAAATGTCACTGAGTTCTTTTAAATGAGAACCTTCTATGATTCTACCACAGATTGAGCACAGAGTCATAACAAGAAGATCACAGCATTTACATCCGCCGAGAGGAGGCAAACTGACCTGTTGTTTTTCCCTCTATTGTTGAGTTAATATTGACTGAAGCCATTGTACCCATTGGCCCATGAACGTAAAGAAGTTTTATCAAAGAGCTATTAAGAACATGGAGTCATTTTGCTTACTTCTTAGGCCTTATCCAAATTTTAATATATGGTGACTTTGAATGCAAGATTTCAGACCGTTCTACTAAACTTCCAATCTCATTATACAAATGTTCTGATACAAGAGTCTTTGGTCACTTTTCACACAATGAGACTTTTTAGGCCTCATACAAATGACGCTATTTTTATACTGGGGCAAAATAACCTGATCACATTTCTTCTTTGTGTCTGAACTAAAGCTTGCCTTCTTCCTGAATGTGTGCCTTGAAATAAATGTGTAAATTAACACTAAAAATTTCATTCCTAAAGAGATTTCTTTATGCTTGTTTTATATCAAGTTCTTACTCTGCTTACACATTAAAGTTATAAAATGCATAGACATGGCCATTATTAAACTTTGAAGATCTGGCATGCTTCTATGTGAATATTATTTCATCTATAGCCTTTGAATTGAGAAACTCCTTTGTGTGATTTCAACAACCTTTTGTCCAGAGTTAAATGCACTGACAGGGCTTTTAGACAGAGCCACAGAAAATTCTCTGCTGAATACTTAATCAGTTCCTAAGTTGGCAGGCTTCCTCTTTTCCTTTCTTCAAGACTATGTGGCTAGACTACTAGAGATTTTTATTTGTCACTGAAAGTTTAAGACTAAATAATTTGGATATACTCTATATCATATTATTTTCATCACATACATTCAATGTTTTATACAATGTACATACACTGAGGTATGTTGAAATTTTATCATTTTTGAAAAATGGGTTTATGTTTTTACTAGTGCATTCCTTTACATTCAATAGCTTAATTCTTAATTATTTCACCTAATAGGATTACTATAATCTCTTTACATTTTAATACAGAAATCTGAATCAGATGAGATCCTATGTCTAGCAATTAAACAGAAGATTATTGGGCAATGAAAAATGTATTGAAAATTGCTGTTAAACTGAGTAAACAATGATGGAGGGAAGCCAGTGACATTCAAAATTTTCTCTTTGTCTAGTGCTTCACAGCAGGAACTGTTTCTGGCAGCTTGGTGAACCAAGAAAGGCAATATTCTTCTGGGGTGAGTTCTTATTCATTGGCTATCTGGAGTGCATGGAGAAGAGCTTGACTGGTTGGCTGATTCCTGTTCCCCCACTTTCTAAGGAATCAGTTCAACCACATGTTTTCTCATTGTCAACTTTATATAAATAGACTTCCCTTGGCTATTGTTGGTCTTTCGAAGAAGGATTGAATCTTGTTGAAGTTTCTTTCTTACAGACATAGAAAATGCTGGTAGCCATAACACTCCAAACTATTTTTCTGGATCTTAATTTGACTAGGGAGAGAGAAGGTCATTTTTGTTTAAACAGGGATTGCATTTTACAGAAACATTGCCTTGAGAGACACAACATGAATTACAACATCATGATGTATTCAGCCAGATGTCTGCAAGACAGAAAATCACGTGACTGAGCAAGGCATGTGAATGTTCTTAAAGGGGGAGAAATAGAAAAGAAAAACCAAACATGCATCAGATATTTCCTTTTTGCATCACATTATTCCCAATCATATGGATGCCTTATGTTTATAACTTGCCAATTATGAATTTCCCCTCATGTATATTAAACTTAAGGATCACTATAATTTTAATCTTGTTAACAAATTTGCTGTTTGTCTATATCTATTTAGGAGATTAGCATCCAGGGCTCATTAGGTATCTGTTAGGATGGTTGTTAGGGCATAGTGAGAAATTATTTTTTGGCACTCACAACAAATGTATATGGATATACATTTAGTTTCTTGGGATCCTAGTCCATGTATTTGAAAAGTATATGTACTTGACGATCCTGAGCAAAACTGGAATCATTTGAATTAATTCATCTTTTTTTTTCACAATTGGCAATCTCACGCTCAGTATATTAATACATATTCACTAAATAATCATAGTGTAGTTTGTAGTTTCTCAGTTGCACAGAAATGGTTGGGTTCTTTCAGGGATCCTTACTTGAAGATAAGGATCAGAGCACTATTAAGGAAAGGGAGGATAATCCTGAAGTGTGGGAGGGGATGGTCATGGATTTACCTATTTTTACTATTTGTTTTATTTACTCTATTTCTAACAACCCAATCACTTCTCCAGTGGCAAAGGCCTTTGGCATTTGGTAGGCACCCAATGCATAATTGCTGATGAAAGAATGAATTCTATTGCCAGGGCATCCATTTCATTTTCTCTGCAGCCACACCATCAGCATGGCAACTGCCCCGACAGCACATTCTTTTCATGATTGTTTTAAATTTCTTATGCTATTTTCCGTAAGGTAGTGGTCTATATAATTTTTAGTCATGCACTCCTATTAATTAAGTTTTGTGCATGTAGTCTCTAAATACATATTTTACAAATAAGATATTCTGTTGCTTTATAAAATATAGTTAATCAGAAGAATGAGATTGTTAATAACAATTCTAATAATTATTTCTCCATTTTCATGGACTGTCTTGCTAACCTTCCTTGTACACTGTATTCTGGAGAACCTTGGCTGTTGAAAGCATAAAGGAAGAAGAATGCAGTTTTTGCCTTGGGGAGCTTACATCTTATCTGGTATACCAGATAAACACAATGAAGGACAACACAACGGTAAACAAGGTATTTCATATCATGGTGGACTAGAAGAGAGTCCCTGTACAGAATTTTGCTAAAAACATAAAATTTAAAACATATTTCAGTCTGCCACCTTTGATTTGTAGTAAGATACTTCTTATGTTGAATTGAGTTTAAGCACACTCCAAACTTTGCAATAGATACATTCTGTTCTCTTGGAATCATACAGATTTAATATTAAGAACAATTTTTCTTTACTTCAATGTTTCTCTTTTTCTTATATCCTGAAAAACCTGACCACTTAAAACTGTCCTTCTAATCCCCGGCAGAGGAAATTTTACTTTTTGATAGGACACTTTTGACCTAGGTTTTGACTCTGAGGGAAGGATAGCCTAGGAGGCAGGTGTTTCATAAGTACATTCTAGAAGTTCATTTACTTCAGGCATGCAGGATGACATAGCAAAATGTTTATGGATCACAAACATAAGTGCAGTGATTCTGTAAATAATCCAACAACCTAACTTGTCTTGGCCAGAAATCTAGATGCTGACATCATGGGAAATATCCTTTTAGTTTGATGTATGCATCTTTCTTCAGGGCTCTTTATCCTTTAATACCTAATTGTTCTACCTTGTTTTTTTTTTTTTTTCATTCCTACTCCTTTTCTTCTACCCCTTAGGTCATATGTATCTATCTTCGTCACAGTCAAGGTGGCCCCTGTATGGTGGAAAAGGTCACTCCTTTAGTGGGAAATTAGCAAATATTTACCTAAAGTGAATTCATATAGTCATTTGTGAAGTAAATCATCTTAAGAAATGGTACAAAAATAAAATATTTCAGAATCTCTACTGAGTGAGGTATATTTGCAAGGAGATAATGGTATACTATTTATCTACTCATTTGTGCTATAACTTGACTATTTAAAATGAGTATATTAACATAAGGATTGTGCTGTATATACAATCTAGGAGAAAAAGGAGAAGGTCAAAAGCTAAGATCGGTGAATATGTCTCTAGGAATAGTTGTCCTGGGTCCTCTAGACAGCATGATAAGTATAGAAGTCTTGGTAAATTAACATATTGCCATTTAGGTTTACAAATTCATTTCCTGTGATTTTGGTTAATGTAAGTTTTAGGTCACCGGAGCAAAGTCAACTTTGGACCCATGATATAGAGAGCTAAAACCTATATTATGATGAATCTACTAAGACACCACACAATAAGAAGCTCTGTCTGAGGCCCCAGCTGGCTGCTGTGACATGTTTTTAGCTTCCACATATTAGTTATAGTAATACTAGCTGCTGTAAAATACAAATCTCAAAACTTTAGCCACATAACAAGATAAACTATTTATTCTTGTTTATTAACACTCTAATACAGATGTTCCTAGTGGGGGAGTAGGGGGGGGCTTTGCCCTGTGCAATGTAGGGTCCAGATTGCTGGTGGGGTGGTCTATCATCTTCAACACCTGGCTCCTCAGGTTGCCTTGGGTGTTGACATCTTACAGGCAAAAGGAGTTGGTGTGGGTAAGAAAGGCATACTCACTTTTTAACCATGTTGAAAGGGAAGTGACATATATCTTTCCTGCTTCGGTTCCACTGGGACAAGTCAGCTATATGCCCATATGTAGATGAAAGGAGGAGGGGATTAGGAAATGTAATCTCTCATAGAGCAGCCAGTTCCCAGCAATTACTCCACAATAAGGAAGGAGAAGTGAAGCTCTGAAGAACTAACTGCTGAGCCCTCTCTGCCGTAACCCATAATATTGTGAAATGTTCCTACGGACAAGAAGAATGTTAAAGTAATCATTTTAAATCTTTCAGTTTGCAAAGCAAACTTTTGCTGCAATGTTTTATCTTTAAGAACAAGGCATGCATCTTATATTAACAGTGAAAGTTTAAATTATAAAGTACAGCATTTAGATTACATTCAATATACAAAGTGATGGTGAATCCTGACAATTACCTACTTAATTTCATTGCTATAGACAACTGACTCATCTAGACCTATCATAGATTTGTCATCTAAGTTATGTAACTTGGTTTACTATTAATATTAAATAGATAAATAAAACAAACTCTTTGTTTGTTTTATAGTCATAAATATAATATAAATTGTGCATTTTATTCTTTTCAAAACTGTTCCTAATTGATTGGAAGGAAAAAAAGTATTTTTCTGTATGTGAAATAAAGAAAACTCAAACATCTATTTTACAGTTTTGATATCTGTTCATGGAAATAGTCAATGAATTGGAAAGAGATTCTCTGTGATATATCAGATTACAGAAAATATCACCCAAAGATAAATACATATTTCTTAGCACACAGTACTTTAGAAATATAGAAATATTTAATGGGCAAAAGATGGACTAAAGTAAATATTCAAGCTACTTGTCCATAAAAGAGCCTGAATTCTGTTTTAATATGTAATCTAATGTAGGTCTAGTCTTCTTGTTAATGATGTTTTTCCTTGGAGATGCTTTACCTTTATTAATTCTATATTCAGTGAAATGAAAAGCAAACACAAAACCAAACAAATTATTTTAAATTAATTTTTTTTTTGAGACAGGATCTCACTCTGTTGCCCAGGCTGGATTGCAGTGGTGCAATCTCAGCTCACTGCAACCTCTGCCTCCCGGGTTCAAGTGATTCTCCTGCCTCAGCCTCCCGAGTAGCTGGGACTACAGGCACAGGCCACCACACCCAGCTAATGTTTATATTTTTTAGTAGAGACTGGGTTTCACCATGTTGCCAGGTTGGTCTCAAACTCCTGGTCTCAAGTGATCCACTGGCCTTGGCCTCCCAAAGTGCAGGGATTACAAGTGTGAGCCATTGCAAGCTGCCTAAAACTAACTTTTGATTGCAATTGCAATTGTCTTTTTCTTTCTCTTTTTTAAAAACGAAATTTTTGTTCTTTTAGTAAACTGAATTGCTGTCAGTCCTATAAATAGATCTGATTTAGCTGGATGTTTTATTGATTTCCAATTAGCAAGAAGGCATAGATTTGGCCTCGTACAGCGAGCCTAAGTATATAACAGTGATCAGGGAAGATTTTGGGGCTGCTACCTTCCTCTCTAAAACAACATGTATTGAACAATTAGAATTCCTTAGGTGTTAGGATGGTGAGAAAATGAAAGTAACAATACCAATGATTAAGTGCCTACTCTGTGCTACCTGTGTTAGAGGCTTAAAATCACTGAATTTCAGAATAATTCTGCAAGAAAGATTTCATTATTCCCATTTTGCATATGTAGAGCCTAAAATTCAAGGAGGTTGAGTGATTTGCTCAAGGCCACATAATTATTTTCAGGAGAGGCAGCATTCTATTCATTTGTGTCTGATCCCAAAGCTCTTATCTTTTTCCCTAGGCTAATCCTCCTCTCTCAGTAAGGTATCCACAACAAACATTTTGGATCCTTAGATAAGTTTATTATTACACTTTTGCAGATGTCAGTCCTGCCTTACTCTGACATTAGTGACTGCCCTAGGCACTAGCATTTCACTGCACACCATAGCAATTATTTATGATTTGGAGATTTGCAGCCTGGGGCTGGTTTACCGGAACTGTTTTGAACAAAAACAAAAGGAACTCTTTTCTTGGTTGCTCCAGGATTCTTTGATTCTTTGATCCAAAGAACTCTGTTGTCTGTAGGAGACGTGGAGGAGGAGTACACACAGAAGAAAGGCCTTTTCCAGGCCAGTGGCCTTGCTTGTTTTATATGAGTTTAACTTTCATACTAAATCTCATCCACTTCAGCAATTTCTTTATGGTTAATTAAAACTCCCTGTGATTGTTGTGGTATGGTAGAGATGGAATGGAGATGACTTAGGAGTGAATAAGATGATTTCCAGGCACTGGCAGGTGAAATGTGTACCATTTTGCAAGGCAAAATTATATTATAAATCTTTGTCCCTGGTATATTGAGCAAAATGGATAAGGGTCACTCATAAACCCTCATGCTGCAGCCGCCAACCCCTTTTTAAGACTCAGCCAATGCCTCAATTTCTCCAGGAAACTTTTCTGATCTCTTCATGCTCCAGGCTAGGCAGCCAAACTCTATGCTCCACAGCACCTTGTTATTGCATTGATTACATTAGCGTTACAATAGATGTTTGTGTTTAATAATAGTTTGAAAAATAGGACCATAACTTTGTCTTATAAGTCTTTATACTGCCGGTGACAGTTTCCAATGCCCTAAAATTTCTCAATATAAGTCTTTGAGAAGACCTGAATTGAGTTTCATTTATTTATTTAATAAATATTTAGTGAACACCTATTATATGGAGACATAAGGAAGAGGAAAATCAGACATTTTCAGCTTTTCATTTTTGCTACTAAAAGTCATCAGTTTGATTATATCAGATTGAAAATTTGTTTCAGGATTTGACATCTGAAGCCACTCAGACTTGTCTGTCTATAGAACTAGTGTGCTTCCTTCAATTAGGCACCAGCCTTGTATAATCATCCTATGTGTGGACAACTGAGAAAGAAGATACCCAATAAAATAAGATTCTTAATAAATCTTCAAAGGACAATAATTGACTAATTAGTTATCACTGATGTCTGTGTATATATTTAAACATAGAAACACTGTAGTTAGTATTCAAATAAACTTAAACACCAAGTAGAAGCAAGTGCCCTTGTGTAAAGTTCAGTTATTATCAATTTCTTTCTTCTCATCACCAAATCTAAGCAGAAAACTTACCATGACTTTTTCTTATGATCACATTTTTCAGGGCATATATGCAATGTCAATGTAAATTTGATTGGGTGTGTTAATCTTCTGCTTAAAATTTCATACTTAAATCACTGTCGGAATAAATTTAAAACTTTAAAATTTTTTGCATGAAATAAAAGGCCTCACATCCCTTCTCATCCTATTAAAGCCCCTTTAGTTGCTATTCATAGGCCCCCAGCTGGCTAGCAGTTCACTCCTTCCCTACACTTTTTCATACAGTGTGGATGCTTCTGTTGGTGGAGTACCGAACTTACCTCTCTCATCCTTTTAGGAGCTTTCTGTGCCTGCCTTTAACCCTAATACACAAAACATGTGTGTATGTGCTACCATCACATTATACATACCTTTTAAGATTACACTTATCACACTGCACTTATTCTTTGCTTAGCTCCTTGATTTTGAGATCTAAGAAGGCGGGGACCACATTTCACCTATTTTTGAAATTTTACTGGCTGATATGGTTTGGCTGTGTCCCCACCCAAATCTCATCTTGAGTTGTAGCTCCCACAATTCCCACATGTGGGGAGGGAACTGGTGTGAGGTAATTGGAACATGGGGGCAGGTTTTTCCCATGCTGTTCTCATGATAGTGAATAAGTCTCATGAGATCTGATGGTTTTATAAAGGGGAGTTCCCCTGCAGAAACTCTCTCTTGCCTGACGCCATGTAAGATGTCCCTTGCTCTCCTGCCATGATTGTGAGGCCTCCCCAGCCATGTGGAAGTGTGAGTCCATTAAACCTCTTTCCTTTATAAATTACCCGGTCTCAGATATGTCTTTATTAGCAGTGTGAGAACAGACTAACCTACTGGCTATTGACCAGCACTACGCAGTTTGGCTTGGGTTGCTCTACTCTGATCTGTTTAGAAAGACAATATTAATTTGACTTCTGACTTTTATTTTATTGTGGTAAGATATTAGGTGTATAATATGGTATTATTATCTATAGGCACAATGTTGTACAGCAGATCTCTAGGACTCATCAATCTTATATAGGTGAAATTTTGTACTTGTTGATTAACTATTTCCCATTTTCCCATTGCTCCAGCTTCTTTCAACCACCCTTCTATTCTTTGCTTGTAAGGGTTTGACTACTTTAGATACCCCATATAAGTGAAAGCATGCAGTATTTGTCCTTCTGTGCCTGGCTTATTTCACTTAGCATAATGTCCTCAAGGTTTAACTATGTCGTCACATATTGCAGGATTTCCTTCTTTTTAAAAGTCGAATAATAATTCATTGTATGTTTATACTGCATTTTAAAATCCATTCATGTACTGGTGGACATGTAGGTTGTTTCCACATTTCAGGTATTGTGAATAGTGCTGCAATAAACATGGAATGCAAGTGTTACTTTAAAATCTTGATTTTAATTCTTTTGGACATGTATAGAAGAGGGATTGCTGATCCCACTACTGGGTATATACCCAAAGGATTATAAATCATTCTACTATAAAGACGCAAGCACACATATGTGTACTGTGGCACTATTCACAATAGCAAAGACTTGGAACCAACCCAAAAGTCCATCAATAATAGACTGGATAAAGAAAATGTGACACATATACACCATGGAATACTATGCAGCCATAAAAAAGGATGAGTTCATGTCCTTTTCAGGGACATGGATGAAGCTGGAAACCATCATTCTCAGCAAACTATCACAAGAACAGGAAACCAAACACTGCATGTTCTCACTCATAAGTGGGAGACGAACAGTGAGAACACGTGGGCATAGGGAAGGGAACATCACACACCAGGGCCTGTCAGGGGATGGGGGGCTAGGGGAGGGATAGCATTAGGAGAAATACCTAATGTAGGTGACGGGCTGATGGGTGCAGCAAACCACCATGGCACGTGTATACCTATGTAACAAACCTGCACATTCTGCACATGTACCCCAGAACTTAAAGTATAATAAAAAATAAAATAAAATAAAATAAAAAAAGAAGTGGGATTGCTGGATCATATGGTAGTTCTATTTTGCATTTTTTTGAGGAAGCTGCATACTGTTTTCCATAGCAGCTACATCATTTTGCATCCTCACCACAAGAATTCCAATTTCTCCCCATTCTCACTAATACTTGCTTTTTATTTTTTTTTTATGATAGCCATCATAACAGGTGTGAGGTAATATCTCATTGAGTTTCTGATTTGTATTTCCCTGATGATTAGTCACATTGAGTATCCTTTCATATACGTTTTGACCATTTGCATGTCCTCTTTGGAGAAATGTGTAAGTCGTTAGCCCATTTTTTATATAAGGTTATTAGTTGTTTTGCTATCGACTTGCAGGAAGGAGTTCCTTATATATTTGGAAGTTACCCTTTATCAGATGCAAACATTAGAAGTGACTTACTTCTTTTCATCTTCTTTTATCATAAAATACATTCTGCTATTTAAGATTCAGCTAAATCAGAGATAAAGAGATAAGGTGCCTGCTTCATGCTCACCTCTTATTTGCAGTCCTAACTACCCCTCCCCCCACACATGCCCCCACCCTTTAGGGAAAGAGTTCTTTGGCAATAGTACTTCAAAGTTCACTCTAATAAGCTGGGAGCTAGACAGAGCTGATTCAGAATTTATTCTATCACTACACTTCATGATATGGTTTTGCTCTGTGTCCGCACCCAAATCTGACCTAGAAGTGTAATCCCCACATGTCAAGGGAGGGAAGTGATTGGATTATGGGGGTGGTTTCCCTCATGCTGTTCTCGTGATAGTAAGTGAATTCTCATGAGATCTCATGGTTTTATAAATGGTACTTTTTCCTGCGCTCACACTTCTCTCTCTTGCAGCATGTGAAGAAGGTCCTTGTTCCCCCTTCGCCTTCTGCCGTGATTCTAAGCTTCCTGAGGCCTCCACAGCCGTATGCAAATGTGACTCAACTGAACTTCTTTCTTTTATAAATTACCTAGTTCTTGGGGAGTGTTTTTATAGCAGCTTGAGAATGGACTAATACACTTTATTAGTCATTCAACCTCTCTAAGCCTCCATTTGCTTGTCTGTAAAATGGAAGTAATAACGTCTTCTTCATGGAGTCTTTATTATTAGTATTAGAGGATCCAATGAATGGAAAACACCTGGAATAGAGCTGGGTTCCTGTGCATGCTTACCAAAAGTCCTTTCTCTTCTCCTGCAAATCTTTGAATGTCTATCTTGATTAATTCTTGTTGTATTTATATTACATGTTTGAACTACAGGCATTGGAATCAAACTTCCTAAGTACTCATCTTCTCTGGAATACCAACTAGTAACCAAGTAACTTAGTAAACTATGACTCAGTTTGTTTATCTGTAAATTAAAAATAGGCCAGGCGCGATGGCTCACACCTGTAATCCAGCACTTTGGGAGGCCGAGGCGGGCAGATCACAAGGTCAGGAGATGGAGACCATCCTGGCCAACATGGTGAAACCCTGTCTCTATGAAAAATACAAAAAAAAATTAGCCGGACATGGTGGCATGTGCCTGTAATCCCAGCTACTTAGGAGGCTGAGGCAGGAGAATCGCTTGAACCCGGGAGGTGGAGGTTGCAGTGAGCTGAGATGGCACCACTGCACTCCAGCCTGATGACACAGCTAAACTCCATCTTAAAAAAAAAAAGAGTAGTATCACCCCAAGGAGTTGTGGAGACTAAATGAAATGTTTACTTCTTTAAGGAGTAGCCATTTTGTTATGATTTTCACCCTTGGACTTGTGTTTTCACCATTGGACTTGTATTTTAATAGAGTTTAAAACATAGTGGTATGTTTCCATTTTTATGTGTTGCTTTTGTTTTATTGAGGACTATCAGAGATTTCTGAAATTTTTCTGTTTAATGAAGATTTAAATTGCTACGAACACCTACTAACCTCCCTGCCCAGTGCCTCTATTCCTTTGCAGAACAGCTATCTTGCTTTGTCAATTATGTGTTTCAAGTTGTATCTGTCAATCACAGAAACCTGCCTTCTTGGCCACAGTGATTTGTCCATGGGTGGAAATAGCTAACCCAAAGTAGACCAGTGAGTTGTTTTTCTTAGAATGTTAACTTGAGTCAGTTCCTGCAGGCAAAGCTGTGAGTTATTAGACCCCAGGACACAAGATGACCATATTCCCTGCAGTGTAAAACAAGTCAATCTGAACACGACTTCAGAATTACAGAGAGTGGGGCCAGGATGTTCTGATACCATTTGGTCTCTGGTTCTAGCCACTTCTTTGACCAAGCTGTACTCTGTCCTTCATTTGGCTACTTGACACCTCCATGAAATTCTCTTGGTAGCATGTTCCATTTCAATTGGGCTTCTCTCACTTGTGATGTGTCAAATAACACAGAAAAATTTTGGTATGTTAATGATTGTTACAGAAGACAAGGTGGAGCCTGCTATTTTATTCTAATATTATTATATTATAACATTATAAGCCATCTTTATGTTTTAAGTGCCCTTCATGCACATTACTTTTAATGACCATGTAATATTTCATCATATAGCTATATTAAAACTTTATTTAACTTTTCCGCTAGTAAGGTAAATTTAGATAATTTTTTTAAGACAGAATCTTAAAATCAACGGGTGGAAAGCTTTTGATATATATTGCCAAATTGTTTTTAGGAAGGTTGTAGCCCCTGGAATCCCATCTGTACTGTCCAAACACACTGTTTCATTGCACCATTTCTAGCACTGATTATTAATAGTTTAAAATATTTTGATCATTTGTACTAGTAGAGTTCAAAATTTCCTCTCATGTTTATCTTGTGTCTATTTTTCTATCATTTGATTGCTAATGCACTTCTTATTGATGTATATACGTTTTTAAAATACAATTAACTTTTTATAATATTTGTGTTATTTTTTTCCCTTTGTTTTATAGTTTGCTTTAGCTTTTGGTTACTTTTTTATATAACAAAGATTTATATTTTAATGCTACTAAATATATTAGTCTTCCTTTCCCCCCCAATTACTATTAAGCTTAGAATATCCTTCTATGATAAATATCAGATATTCACCTATATTTTACCTTTCTTAAAATAAATATTTAAAAAATTTCATCTGTCATCAATGTGGGATTCATTTTCTCCAAAATAATTAGCCATTCTGAAAACTAATTATTGATTAATCTCTTCTCTCACCTATTGATCTATAATAAGATCTAAAACACAATATATTAAATATTTTATATACGTAAAAATGGTTGTTCATAGATCTATACCAACCATCTACAAATGTATCCTTCTTTCCCATTCTATAAGGTTTTAATTGTTTTATTTGTATATACTTTGATAAGAAGTGACAATAGTAATAGCTATCACATATTGAGTGCTTGCTTACTATGCACCAGACATTGCCCTAAATAATTTCCATTTATTATAATTTTTAAGCTTGTCAAAAACTTATGAATTTCTAAGAGGTTCTTCTTCATTACTCTTCTTTTACAAATTATCCTTAGGTATTCCTGCCCCTCAGATGAACTCTAGAATTATTTTGAGAAGTTCTGTATTTTTTCCTTAAATATAAAAAAATCACTTAATATTTTTACAAATATTGCCAAAATTTTCTTCTGGATGAGTGCAGTAGGGCTGGCTCAGCCTGGGATGTTGGGAGCAGGGACTGGACAAGGGCATATTAGGAACCTCCCCACCACTGCAGAGCAAGGGGAGAGGGAGACGTGAAAATGAACAGACAGTATAGTGCAGTGCTGTTCAATAGAAATATAATAAAAAGTACATCATACAAAAGTACATGTGTAATTTTGAACAACTTTCTAGTAGACAAACAAGATAAAAAAGGTTAAATTATTCTAATAATATATTTCATTTAACCCAACCTATCCCAAATATTTTCAAAAAGTTATCCTTATATAAATTATGAACGGAATATTTTACATTTTTTCTACTAATATTTGAAATGGCGTGAACATTGTACACATACAGCATGGATCAACCGGGATCAACCACATTATGAGTGCTCAGTAGCTTCAGGTGGTTGGTGGCTATGGTATTGCACAGCACAGATTTAGAGAAAGCCTCCAATCTTAGAACAGCAGGGAGGAAAAGGTAGGCTAGGCCAGAGAAAAATTCCACAAGATAAAACCAGCTGTTCCATAGGGCAAATAGAGGGTGAATTTGAGAGTTGCTCAGAGAGGCAATCTAAAACTAGACCTTCTTTCAGAGTCTACATCTTAAGCTCTCAGTGAGTAGTGGTGCTAACAGGGTGCTGGTCCAGTTTAGACAATGATATTTAATCTTCCTTTATATTGCATAATCCTGGAGTGAACAAATAACAGAACATTTACAACTAGAAGAAAAAAGCTAGCATATTTTTAAGGTGGTCTTTTTATTTTGTATATACTCAGATGGTTTTTCAGTGTCACGGGAATATAAAATGAAAAGTTTGAAAAGCTTGTTCCAAAAACGTGAGGGTATTTGAGAGAAAAACTCACCTTCTTTTTTGTTTATTTAGGGAAGGAGATTGAACTGTTTATTAATAATAGAATACAGGACAATACTTCTCTGTATATCTGTGGAGAAGCATAGCAAAATAGAAGGCTTGTTTACTTACGGTGGGTCCAGAAGTTCACAAAAACAAGTCCAGAACTAAGAGAATAAATGTATAGCTCTATGCTATAAAGAAAGTAACATTCAATGTTTTCAAGAAACAATGGTGATCAAATATGCCATCTAAAGTCATCAGAAGTGAAGACTCTTCATGTTGTGCAGTAGCTTCCCCTTATCTGCAGTTTCACTTTCTGTGGTTTTAGTTACCCATTGTCAACTGCAGTCTGAAAATATTAGATGAAATTTTAAAAATAAACAATTCATAAGTTTTAAATTATGTGCCATTCTGAGTATTGATGTAACTGTTCTATTTTATTATGTTACTGTTGTGAATCTCTTACAGTGCCTAGTTTATAAATTAAACTTTATCATAAGTATTTATGTATGTATAGGAAAAAAACATAGTATATTTATATAGGGTTTGGTACTCTCCAACGTTTCAGTCACCCACTGGGGTCTTGGAATGTGTCCTCTGTGGATAAGAGGGACTACCATGGTCTTTATTACCATCTAGTTGGTAATTACTCATCTGCTTCTGTTAAAAAGGATGAAAGGCAAAGCAGATGTCTTCAGAAATACTAGTGAAGATATCTGAAAAGAGAAACTTGCCAATACGTGAAAAATAGCAGTTCACGCAGGTAGCAATAGTGAAGGTAATAGATTCGAATAGACTGATCATTTGCAGTTATTGTTTAAAACCCTGAAGGCTTTATGAATTGTTACCAACAGAGAGATAATGCCTGAATTTGTTTATGGGAAAGCTTTAGAATCTAGAATAGCACATATCTGACTATGGGCTCTAGTTTCAGGAACTTTAATTTAATAAAGTTATTTTGGATTGAATTGTGAAATTACCACTTTTGAGATCACAAATGGCTCAAGATCAGCAATTTCATATAGGCTTAAAAGTATCAGGTGTTGAAAACACTATGTTATTATGAATACAGGAAAATTTAGAAAATGCTTCAAATCTCATTAATCCAAACAATTCTGATGGAGCTATCAGGATGGCTATTTTACTGGGACACAATCTGGGCATTGCTTTAGAACCGAAAATTTGAAGTCAGGTTGCCAGGGTCCTGGCTCCCTAGTTATTTGTCACATGCTGTTGGGCAAATCATTTAACGTTTATCAGATTCAATTTATTTATTCACAAAATAGAGATATTAATAAATTATCTTAATCTTTCAAAAATGGGATTTAAAAATCTTTCATAAAATGGGATTTTAAAATGAGATTACTTAATTCCATAGAATAGGATTATTTAATCTTCTATAAAGTGGGATTTTGTCCATAAAATGGAGGTATTAATAAATGATCTTATTTAATCTTCCCCCTAAAATTATGAGTGAACACCGTTCATAATGTTTTGGTAAAGAAATTTGAGGAAAATAACCTTCAAATTATAGATACACTTTTATGGGAGTTGTGCAAACAATGGGTCTCATTAGGAAATCTAAATTCAAAAATTCAAAAGGCCTTGGCTCTATATCAGAATGAACATCATTCATAGTATTTTGAGGAAGATTATATGAGATAATTTATGCAGAATGATTAAGAAAGTGCCTGGCACTTAGTAAGTGCTCAGTAAATGTCGGTTTTTAAAAACTAAACAGTTTTATTGAAGTATAATTTATGCCATAAAATTTTTCCATTGTAGGTGTACAATTCAATAATTTTTCATAAATTTAAAGAGTTGTCAATAATCACCAGGCTGGGCGTGGTGGCTCACGCCTGTAATCCCAGCACTTTGGGAGGCGGAGATGGGCGGATCATGAGGTCAGGAAATCGAGACCATCCTGGCTAACATGGTGAAAGCCCGTCTCTACTAAAAATACAAAAAAATTTAGCCAGGCGTGGTGGTGGGCACCTGTAGTCCCAGCTACTAGGGAGGCTGAGGCAGGAGAATGGCATGAACCCTGGAGGCAGAGCTTGCAGTGAGCCGAGATCACGCCATTGCACTCTAGCCTGGTGACTGAGCGAGACTCCATCCCAAAAAATAAATAAATAAATAAATAAATAAATAAATAAATAAATAAATAAATAAATTAAATAATCACCATAATTTAGTATTAGAATATGTTCATTTTGCTTGTTTGCAGTTAATTTCCACTTCCATTCTCAGTCCCAGACAAACTCTGATCTGCTTTATGTCTTTACAGATTTGCATTTTTCTCAAAAATGCATATAACTTGAATCAAACAATATGTGGTCTTTTGTTTCTGGCTCCTTTTACTTGGCTTAATATTTTTGAAGTTCAACATTGTTATAAAATGTATCAATAAGTAGTCCCTTTTTATTACATTGTATTACATACTGCATTTTGAAATTCTATTCACTAGTTGACATTTGCACATTTGGGTTATTTCCCATTTGGAAATATTATAAATAAGGCTGCTATAAATGATTACAAATTTTACATAGACATATGTGTTCCTCGGGAATTGCTAGGTTGAATGGTAAGTTTATGTTTAACTTTTTAAGAAACTGCCAAATTATTTTCCAAAGTGGTGCATCATTTTATGTTCCCATCAGCAATGTATAAGGGCTGCAATTTCTCCACATCCTCACCACCACTTACTATTGTCAGTCTTTTTAATTATAGCCATCTTGTGTAAAATGGTATTGCATTGTAGTTTTAACTTAAATTTCTTTAAAGATTAATGATGTTCACTATTTTTTTCACATGCTTATTAACCATATGCCTTTTTTCTTTTTTTTGTAAAACATCAATTCACAAAGGTTGCCCATTTTTAAATTTGCCTTTGTTTTTGTTAAGTTATAAGTGATCTTTATATATTTTGGATACAAGTCCATTGTGAAATGCATGGTTTGTAAATATTTTCTCCCAGTGTGTGGCTTGTCTTTTTATTTATATGGTTTGATGAGCAAAATATTTTAATTTAGATGAAATTAAATTAATCAGCTTTTTAATGGATTGTACTTTTGTTGTCACATCTAAGAAGTTTTTGTCTAAAGTCACAAAGAATTTTCCTTTAGAAAATTTTGGCTGGGTGCGGTGGCTCGTGCCTGTAATCCCAGCACTTTGGGAGGCTGAGGTGGGTGGATCACGAGGTCAGGAATTCACGACCAGCCTGGCCAACATGGTGAAACCCCGTCTCGATTAAAAATACAAAAATAAGCCAGGTGTGGTGGTGTGTGCCTGTAATCCCAGCTACTTGGGAGGCTGAGGCAGGAGAATTGCTTTAATATGGGAGGTGGAGGTTGCAGTGAGCTGAGATCGCGCCACTGGACTCCAGCCTGGGTGGCAGAGTGAGACTCTGTCTCAAAAGAAAAAAAAAGTTTCTCTATTTTTCTAGAGGCTATATAGTTTTAGTTCTTACATTTAGATCTATAGTCTGAGTTAATTTTTGTGTATGGTGTGAGGTAAGGATCTAAATGCTTTTTCTCTTTTTCTTTCTTTTTTTTTTTTTAACTTATGGACAGTCTGTTGTCTCAGCAACATTTCTGGAAAATACTATCCTTCCTCCCATTGAGCTGCTTTGACATCTTTGTTGAAAATAAGTTGACCATAAATATAAATGTTTATTTCTGGACTTTCTTTTTTTTTTTTTTTTTTTTGAGACAGAGTCTTACTCTGTCACCCAGGCTGGAGTGCAGTGGTGTGATCTTGGCTCACTGCAAGCTCTGCCTCCCAGGTTCATGCCATTCTCCACCTCAGCCTCCTGAGTAGCTGAGACTATAGGTGCCTACCACCATGCCTGGCTAATTTTTTTGTATTTTTAGTAGAGATGGGGATTCACCATGTTAGCCAGGATGGTCTTGATCTCCTGACCTCATGATCTGCCCACCTTGGCCTCCCAAAGTGCTGGGATTACAGGCATAAGCCACCGTGCCTGGCCTATTTCTGGACTTTGTATTTTATTCCCTTGATTTATATGTCTTTCCTTATACCAATACAATCCTGCCTTATTACAGTAGCATTCTAGCAAGTTTTGAAATTAGGTAATTCTAATTTTCTCCAATTTTCAAAGTTGTTTTGGCTATTTTGTTCCTTTGCATTGTCATATGTATTTTTGATCAGTTTAACAACTTATAAAAAATTCTGCTGAAATTTTGATCAGGATTACCTTGAACTTATATATTAATTTGGGAAAAAATGTCATTTAAACAATATTGAGTTATTCCATCATTGAACATGAAATGTCTTTTTGATTGGATATTTTAAAATTCATTTCAGTAATGTTTTGTAGTTTAGTATACAACTCTAATACCTTTTAGATTTATTCCTAGTTTATTCTTTTTGATTCTCCTGCCAATGAAGCTATTTTCTTAATTTTATTTCTGGATTGCTTGTTGCTAATGTTTAAAGAATGCAAGTGATTTTTGTATGTTGACATTGTAGCTTGTGATTTTCCTAAACTTGTTTATAAATATAAACCAGTAGTTTTTTTAAAAAATATAAATGTATTAGAATTTTGTATGTAAAGGATGATGTCATCCTCAAATAAAGACAGATTATTTATTTTTCTAGTATATACACCTTTAAGGTTTTCTTCTTGCCTCATTGCTGTAGTTAGAGCCACCAGTACAATGTTGAATAGAAATGGTGAGGGAACATCTTAGCTTTATTTCCAATCTTAGGGGGAAAGCTTTTATCTTCTACCAGTAAGTTTGATGATAACTGTAAGTATTTGGCAGATGCCCTTTATCAAGTTCCTTTCTATTTTCTTCTAGCTTGTTGAGAGATTTTATCATGAATAGATACTGAAATTTGTTACATGCTGCTTATATCTATTGAGAAGAGAATCATGTGGTTTTTTCCTTTATACTATTAAAATTGTGTATATTAATTGACTTTCAGATTTTAAGGCTTGCATACCTGGGATAAATCTAGTTGGTCATGTTGTAGAGTTTTCTTTCTTTTTTTTTTTTTTAAATATATGTTGCTGCTTATTTTTATGCTTTGGAATCATAATTGTGCAAAATCCCTTCTAAGTAAGTAGAATATTTAATAATTGGTTCCTGTGAATGATTACTTATATCCAGCATATTCTAAATCATTTTAGTTGGAAGATTTTTGAGTACCAGGAATGACTGCTCACTGATGTAATGCCCTGTGCCCCCCTCAAACCCAAATGTCTTTGCTCTGTAGTTATCTGTTCTTACCTATTTCTCAGTGAAGATTCTTCTGCATATGGTAGAAGCAGAAGGGAATTTTAAGCATTCTTCTCCAAAACAAAACAAAACAAAACACCAAAAACCTTTCTATTAGCAGTTTTAACCCCAATGTTTTGTGTAATATATTAAAAATGTCATAACTGCTTAACTGATTTCCACTTATATGACTTTGTAGTTTAGCTGCACTCTCCATTACCTTTGCAAACATGCTGACTAGTACTCATGGCATCTTCAGCACCTGAGTGAATAGGCTATCTCTGGTATACTCACATATTTCTGTTCTCACCAGTTGAATTACAAGCTAGCAAGAGTAAGTTGTGCAAGTTGCTTAAACTGTTTATTCCAGATGTACTTGTTATTATAATTCGATAATAATGTAGTTTGGATAGTTGTCCCCACCCAAATCTCATGCTGAATTGTAAACCCTAATGCTGGAGGTGGGGCCTGGTGGTAGGTGTTTGGATCATGGAGGCAGATTCCTCATGGCTTGGTGCTGTCTTCATGACAGTGATTTCTCATGAGATCTGGTCATTTAAAAGACTGTGGCACCTCCCCACCCCACTCTATGTAACTTACTTCTGTTTTCACCATGTGACTTGCCTGCTCCTCCTTTGCCTTCTGCCATGATTGTAAGCTTCCTGAGGCTCCCTGGAGGCCAAGTGGATGTCAGCACCATGCTTCCTGTAAAGCCTGCAGAACTAAGCCAACTAAACCTCTTTTCTGTTTTTTTTTTTTTTTTTTTTTTTTTTGAAACGGAGTCTTGCTCTGTCTCCCAGGCTGGAGTGCAGTGGCGCGATCTCGGCTCACTGCAAGCTCCACCCCCAAGGTTTACGCCATTCTCCTGCCTCAGCCTCCCGAGTAGCTGGGACTACAGGTGCCCGCCACCACGCCCAGCTAATTTTGTTTGTTTGTTTGTTTGTTTGTTTGTTTTTTGAGACGGAGTCTCGCTCTGTTTGTCGCCCAGGCTGGAGTGCAGTGGCGACATCTCGGCTCACTGCAAGCTCCGCCTCCCAGGTTCATGCCATTCTCCTGCCTCAGCCTCCCAAGTAGCTGGGACTGTAGGCGCCCACCACAAAGCCCGGCTAATTTTTTGTATTTTTAGTAGAGACGGGCTTTCACCGTGTTAGCCAGGATGGTCTCGATCTCCTGACCTTGTGATCCGCCCGCCTCTGCCTCCCAAAGTGCTGGGATTACAGGCGTGAGCCACCATGCCTGGCCACTCTTTTCTTTATAAATTACTCAGTCTCAGGTATTTCTTTGTAGCAGTGCAAGAATGGCCCACTGCAGGTAACAATTAAATATTCAAGCTGATTAAATGTGTAAAGAAAGAGATTTACTTTGGTAATCTAGGTAGGTGGTAATAGGTTCAACCAACAAACCCAAATTCAAAAATTCAAAAGACTTGTTCTATGTCAGAAGACTGGAAAATGATTATTCAACAATGGTAAGTTAAAATACAATGTGTTTGTGTGTATGTACATATATATTTCCTACACTAAATGACTTTTACAATTAATAACCATATATAAATCCTGATTGTGTCATTGTGTCAGATAAGAGGTCTTGTACTAAACATCCCCAAATCCCCGTGGTTTGGAGGTTGGGGGTATTTAATCATTTCACGTCTTGTATCATATTAAGTACATAATATGCCTTCATATTAGAATGAGGGGAAATAATAAGACATGGGATTCAGAGAGAGTAAACTGTGCTATTTTACTCTGCTTCCATATTTGAATGTGAGGAAAAATATGTTAGGACACATAATCAACTTTTGGCTTAGATGCAACTTTGTCCCTCTCAAGAGGGAAGAGTTTTTGAGCACCATGATGAGTTATTCAACTTACTTTGTGCAGTCAATGGTTTCTGGCAAGTGAAATAAAGAATAAAATAAGAAAATGAAGACATTTGAGAGTGTAAACAAATAATGAGAGGTAAGGTTAGTTTTTAATTAGAAACAAGACTTCATAAAAGTAAATGGGAAACCAAATGAAAGAGTCAAGCTACCTCATGGTAATAAATATACTCAAATAAAGGAAAAATTGGTCTAAGAATTCATTCTGTAGCATTGTCCTATTATGTGGAAAAATATTCATCTGTAGCCAAATTCCCAATTTCTGTAGCTTTGAGTTTTTTTTGTTTTTGTTTTTGTTTTTTTTCTGGCAGTAATTTGACCAAAGGCTTCTTGGTAGCTGTACACACTTGAGAAAAAGACCATTCTCTTAGATGATTTATTTCCATTTAATTAGAAATCAAGTCATTAGTCTCCTTGTGATCTGATTAGACTACAGTCTTAACATGGTAAAGATTGGAAATAATTGTTATTTAAAAGAAGAAGGAAAGAAAAAGAAAGCCAAATCTCTGAGGACAAAGAACTACGCTCTGCTCTTTCCCTCAGTTAAACCCTCATTAACAGCGTGTGAAGAAGCAAAAACAAAGCCCTCAGTGTTCCCTTTAGAGGATCCTTAAGAGCCTAGTCTGTCTGTAAGAAGCTTTTCTTTTGCTAATGTGGGCTGAATTACTGACAAAGACCAGTGTCAATGGTCTGCTTCAAGAATCTAATCCCTGGAAGGGAAGCATTTCCTTGCATAGCTTTGCAATGCATTTGTCAAACATTTTAAACCGTTTAACAGAAAGAAGCATTGTCATGACAAGACTCAACATTTCCAGTTCTTCAGTTACATCTGCCAGTAGAGCCATGGGATGAGCCTTTCGGGCTGCAGTGCTCAGGCACAAATGCAAATGTATGTGTGGTACACATCTTGTGACTCAGTTTTGATAATTAGTTTTGGCCAGATTTATTAGCATATTTTGCATCTGTTTCTTTGTAGAATATATTATTAATGTCTTATTTTAAGTAATGTATTTTCTGGTTAATCTTGAACTTCTTTTGGAAGGCTAATAAAGTCACGATGACAAACATGTCTTGTTATAATCTCAAAATGATATTGGAACATTGTAAAAGAAAGCCAGATAGAATCTCTCTTTCTCTTGCCAGTTGAAGGTTCATTTTCAATCACTTTTTTTCAAGCTCAATACAGTAAATATCCCGCTATTTCCTCCTCATTGTAGGACTGGAAAGTGGGTGATCTCTTTCCTCCCTATCATAAGAATCAAGGCAGACACTCTAATAACAAAGACATGTTAACAAGAGAAGAGCATAAGAAATTTGATTTTTGAAATTTGATATTTGATTGTAGTTTTAGGTAACATGGAACCTTTGAAGACTCAAAGATACAGGGGAAATTATTCATTTTTATGCCTAGGTTCAATGAAGAATGGACAGTTGTGTAGAGACACGATTGGGCAAGTGGTATGATCTAATGCTTATAGACTGAAGGGGGAAATTGGGCAAAGTCTCTGTTCAGACTCATCTTGGACTCTCTGTGGAGATTCCATCTATGGAGTAGGACTCCTCTGGAAGGAGGGTCTCAACTTCTTTATGGCCAGCTATTACATACAAAGGTGGTGGGTAGGGGAGGAGGGGAAGTGAGTAATATTTTTAGGCCTTATGGCCTAAAATATTTCCCACCTTGGGGAAAAGGGATTCTAATTTCTATGGCTTGCCTTGAGGGAGAATAAGGGGCAAGGGACAAGAGGGCAGGAGGTCAGAGAGAGACTTTTGTTTCTGAGGCCTTTGTTTTGGGGTATCATTTTCTGAGCCCCAACACCATCTAGAATACTGAATCTAAAACTAATATATTCAGGGGATCAATGTACCTATTGTTCTGACTTAATGCATTTGCTTTATGACCGCCAAGCATTGCTCTAAAAAACCACACTAACCGGATTATTCATGATAGTTGCTGGGCTCAAAAATAGGAATCACCATATCAGATAGCACTCACTCCCCAAAATCAAAGACGATAAGTAGTTTTATCCCTCTTCTAAATAAATTGAAAAGGAAGGGTGATGGGGAGAAAGGCTTTAGATTTACCTCAGGCAAGGGATTCAGTGCACTTAGATATCTATTACCTTGTTTATTCTCACACTATCTGCAAGAATTTGGAGGGGAGAGGTAGCATTTATTACCTCTTGCCTTTGGTTACAAAATGCATTAGCAGTGGAGGGAAAAGGTGGGGGATAGTGGAGAATGGAAAACTCCAGAACCATGGAGTTCCTGGAAATGTTCAAATAATCTGCATCTCTTTCTTTGTCTCCTTTCATTTCTCTCCTTCTCTTTTATTCTCCTACCTCTATTTGATGGTATCTTGCGATTTGGAGGATTTTCCTGAAAAAAATTGAAAAGTAAAGCTAATAGACCTGCAGACTTCTTTTTAAAATATGATATTCACAAAGCAACGAATATTCTTATTTTCCCTATTTCATTTATTCTATTCCTTTCTGGCTTTCCCACTTCCTTTCTTTCTTTATTTTTCTTTGAGTGGGGTCTCCTTCTGTTGCCAGGGCTGGAGTGCAGTGCATGATCATAGCTCAGTGCAGACTGGGCCTCCTGGGCTCAAGCAATCCTCTTGCCCAAGCCTCCATAATAGCTGGGAGTACAGATACGCACCACAGTGCCCAGCTAATTTTTTTTTTTTTTTTTTTTTTTTAGTTTTTGTAGAGACAGAGTCTCGCTATATTGCCCGAACTGCTCTTGAATTGTTGGACTCAAGTGATCTTCTGCCTTGGACTCCCAAAGTGCTGGGATTACAGTTGTGAGCCACCATGCCTGACCCTCATTTCTTTTCTTTTCAATGGGACTCTCCCTGCCTCCCAGGTTGCCTGTGAGTAGTGAGTATGGCTTAGTTCTTAGGAACACTTAAGGCTCAGCCTGCTACTGGTCATAGGGACTAGACAGATTCTTGCCCTCCTTCCTCTCAGTCTAATAAACTGTCAACCTCACCTTCTGACCTAACAGCTAATCATTCTTGGAATTGAGAGCAGCAGGAAAAAGTGTTAAGTGATATGTTGCTAATAAAAATTGAATACACATGTTTGGAAATTATTTAAATTAAAGAATTATGAATGTGATGTCAGTCACTTGCTTTCCTTCTTTTTCTGAATGGGGAGAAAGAACTAGAGCTTCAAAATAATTCCATTGGTTTTACCTATGTTTGGATCCTTTAAAGAGCAATATTGCTTTGTGAATATCATATTTAAAAAAGAAATCTGCAGGTCTGTTAGCTTTATTCTTCAATATTTTCAGGAACATCCTCAAAATCACAGGAGAGTGTCAAAAAGGGTTTCCAGAATAGGTTTACTTAACATAGTAAGTGGTCAATACACATGAATTGATGAAAGAATGAAATACAAGAAGTCATCATTCATGTGTTTTGGGGCATGAAACAAACATGAAGAACCGCTACTGTATCCTGCAAGTTTTATGATCATACTTGACTCATATTCATATTAATATCAATTTAATATTTTCAAAGCTAGATTAAAGTTCCAAAATAGATTTTTAAAAGTGGGATTGATAGTTCAGGGCAGATGTTCTTTGAGGAGGATAATGTCTCCTGTCCCCATCAACCCCAGTGTGATGTTCAGGGGTGGTGGTGGGGTGGGGGGTGGTTCTTATGCACAGCCACAGGATCTGTGCCTACCTCTGCATTGTGAATCGTTTTTTAAAAATTTATCTTTTATTTTAAGTTCAGGGATACACATGCAGGTTTTTTATATAGGTAAACTTGTGTCATGGGGGTTTGCTGTACAGATTATTTCACTACCCAGATATTAAGACTAGTACCCATTATTATTTTTCCTGATCCTCTCTCTCCTCTCTCACCTGTGAATCCTTTTTGCTGTTTTTTTTTTTGTTTTTTTTTTGTTTTTTTGTCGGTATCTTCTTAGGCTTGGTAGTAGCTTGGGAGGCTGGGAGATGTCTCCTTCATCTTTTACTTCCAAAGTCTCCAGCTCTGATTGAACAGGCTTGAGTGATTCATAAGCATTGTACTTTTGGAGTCACCTTGTCATATTATTGCAAATGCATTTCAGTGTACTCATACCAAATTAATTATTTTTGTTGTAAAAAATTTTAAAGAGCTTAAAATTACTTGGCTATACATAACACATTTACTTGATAATTGGCCAATATTTCTTGACCAATCAGTGTGCATTGTCAGGAAGTGGTATGACCAGGGAAAGCCCCAAAATCTAATCTGCAAGTTTTTGCAAATGTGGTAAAAATTTTATGCATATCAATTTACTTGAATGATTGACTAAATTGAATAGGTTGTGTAGGCATTTACTTATTACTTCAACTATTGTTTTTCTTTTTGTATTTTGGAGTTTATAATTTTTTTTCAGGTCTCAAACTCTTTTGTAGGCCCTTGAAATGTTCATTGCCACTAGGCATTGAGCCCAAGATGCTTAATGAGTAGAACAGGCCTGCAGTGTAGGGCTCAACAAATAGCTAACATCCAAGTAGCCAAATAGCTGCCCACCAAGGCACAGAATTCATGGGGGGTTACTGCTTTTGAGTAAAGCATTTGGTGTAGGCTTCTCACTGCAGTGCCTCTGAGGCTGAAAGTTTTCAAAGGGAGCAATTAGGAATGAGAATGAAAACAGATTTCACTGTCAGAGAACAGCATTTTCAGAGCATGGATAGAATGAACAGGAAGGAGATCCAGGGGTTTTTGGTTCCCATCAGAAAGTAAGTCACCTAACCACATTTGGATGATTAAATGAAAATAGTTAGGCTGTACAGTGAAAGGCCTGTCCCTGCATCATTGTTTATTTTAGCACCATCTGCTAGGTTCAAGATTAGGAGAAGTGGATGAGAAGTTTACACTGATGCTTTGGTGTGCTTAGGCTGTATTTTAAAAAAGCTTGGTGACACATATTAATTAACTAGTCATAAGAAGCAAATTGTACAGTTTAAAATACCTTTACTTTTTATTTATGATGTTTCTTTTCTGTTCTTCTTGTTCAGACTATAGATCTGCAATTTCTATTTCTTTGGCTTGCCTATAATTCCCATACATCTTTCGCTGAAGTAACTCCTGAGTAATGTTGATTATTTGAGCTCCTTCAAAGGAGAAAATAATTTTCTCTTTCATTCTTGTCTTACTATTATCCTTGTCCTGTCTTCCTTATACTTTCTTTTCTAAGATTCAAATGCTTGAAGCTGAATTTTAGAAAAGAAACAAGTATTTGGAATTGCTTCTAGAATGTTTTAAACATATTAAAACAAAGGTTTCAATGTAATTTTAGTAGAGTTTGCTTATGTTACTATCATCTTTCAGTAGAATTTTTAATATATTAAAATAATGTAAAACCTTTTTAATTTGGAGGATTCTACTAATTCTGATTGCATGAAAATTTTATCCAGGTTGTATTGGAGTTTACCTTTGCATAATACCTAAAAAAATGAATAAATAAGTAATGCAATGAAAAATGCTAATAGACTCTTTTAAAGATATTAAACTATTTTAGGATTAAACTATTTTAGATTAAACTCTATATATTCAATGTAATTTATTTGTATGTTATTAAATGACCTATTAATAAAATTATTCCTGGCAGAGTTCTATAAACTGCAAATTTGTTAACATTTAATTCAATTACTGTGTTTAAATGAACAAAACAGAAGGGCATTTTTGAAACATAATTTATAATTCAGATTGATTTTCTATACACAATGTTCTGAATTAGTCATATATAAATCAATTTCAAGATGGAGTTTTAAATGTCGAAGTGCATCTTTTATTCAGGTCACTATTCAGAAATTATTCTGAAAAAAATCATTTACTGATCTGTTTCCTTAAAAACATCAGCCTCTACTTATCCTTCAGTCATCCTCATCAACTCCCTCCCCTTCTCACCGCCCCAAAGCAAATGAAAGTCTCAAAAAGCATGCTTGAATTCATTGAATGTGTACAAAGAATGTGTTCAAAGCATTCACATTGCTTTTGCTCAGATTTTTCCTCTCCTTCTTTGCATGTTCCTCACTCTCATGTCTTTGCTAGTTTTGCCTTCTTCCATTTCTCCAGTCTCCCCATGGGTGTAGCATCCCTGGATCCCCTTTAGTTAAGGGGTAAGCATTAAATCAAATTAGGTCAGTGCTACTCTCTATCTTTAGTATTTATGTTAAAGTGAACTAAATATGGCCTGAAAAAGCCTCTGTACTTCCATATTTGAGTCCTTTTGGACGAACCGTAACCTAAGTTAATAGGTAGACAAGACTGAAAACCTAACTTAGGCGTATGCTTCTGTAACAATAGCTGAGTCTCAGCCAATCCCAGCAGCCATACTTCAACCACGTGTACACTGCTGACTGTTCAAACTGTGTTCAAAGAAGGCAAATGCCAACCTGTAACCAATCCAGCTGTTTCTGTACCTCACTTCCGTTTTTCTGCACGTCACTTATTTTGTTTGTCTACAAATTTGCTCTGACCGTGAGGCATCCCTGGAGTCTTGCTCAATCTGCTGTGATTCTGGAGGCTGCCCGATTTGTGAATCATTTTTTTCCTTGCTCAATTAAACTCTGTTAAATTTAATTTGTCTAAAATTCTCTTTTAACGTTTGTATCCAGACACAGTGATGGATAAATAGAAAATCACTGGAACTGATTTATCCCACCTGGAAGAAGGCATCTGTTAGTTTTTGCCCTCATTCCTGTTTTTTTTCAAACCTTGGATTCTAAGCTTTACTCGCTAATCTGTGAGTAATTCTCAAAAAGTGCTAGGCTTTTTGATACACACAAGGTCTTTGAGCAGTAAAAGTTTGGTTTTGTGTGTCAAGATTCTAAGCTTTCCTCACTAATCTACGAACTACCTATATGCTTCCAATAAGTTGCCTTTTTGCCTAAGCTAGTTGGAGTCAGTTACTATTTCTTCCAGTCAATGACCCCAACTGGTCAACTTCTCATCTCCTTCCTTCCTGTTTTACTTCTCTTCCTTTTTCCTTCTCTATCAGCCTTTCCTCCCCCTTTCTTACTATTCTCATGTTTTTCTTCCTCTTTTTTGGAGGCTTTTAATAATGAAAGAAAAATTAAAAAGTTAAAAAAATGGAAAAATGAAAATATTTTAAGCGTATTTAATCACAACTACTTCTCTTTTCAAATTAAAATGGAGGGTTTCTTGACTATATATTGTGTACAGTTCCAAGTCTTATCTGAGTACAAATAAATACTATTATTAATAGCAAAAATAATAAGCAAAGCAACTTAATCCCCCCAAGAAATTATGCAGTGCCTCCAACAATTTTACAGTTTTGGCCCATTAAAACATATTTATGGCTTGTCTAAACTAATTAGATGATTTGATCCATGTGGTATTCATTTTCAAAGGATTCGCTGCCAGATTTATGTCTTACTACAGCAATTAACAAAGTTATTTTTGGAAGTAAGCATTTAATATCTTCTTGTAGCAGGCTGAAAGAATTTAAGTTTTGATGTCCAGACTTAGCCTATAATTAAAGGTAAACTTAAATATTTAACATAGTAGAAGAGGAGTAACAACTACAAAGTTTACTTGAAAATGAAGTGAGTCATTTCACTGAGTCATTTATCTTTTATGCTTGCATGCATAATCAACAGAAGTTTGTGTTTTGTACTCAATTCCTTTCTCAAGACAGCCAACAGCTGTTGCTTCCCTCAAGCTGTAAACTTCATCTTCCTGTTTTACCTCAGCTGTTTTGCCCAAACTGCCTTAGACATAATGGCAGTTGAAAATCAGAAGTTTTTGTAAGTCATAGCAGTTATTGTCAGTAATAACTGCTAGATGATATTAGGAATCAAAGCTGGGTCTGCTAACATCAGTGCAGTTAGTTCAGGTGGTGTTTCCAAACATGAAACATTTAGAAAAAGGAAAATGAGCCTAGCCTGGAAATCATGATTTTCAGGGAGAAATCCAAGGATTTTCTGTTCTGCGGGCAATGCAGCAGATTAAGATAGCTGGCATGGATCTGAATCGATAAAATTTCCCTTTTATGTTAGCAGACCTAATTTGTGTCATCTTAAGAGTTAACAATTGCATAGACTTTATTTCAGTTTTTAAAAATTGTTAGCGTAGTATTTATTCTCCTTGTAGTCGTTTCAATGTTTTATATACTTATTGGTCTGGTCGTGTGCTAAATATTTTTGGCTTAGAGTTAAAAAGTCGTAAAATGTAATTTTTTGAAAATTTAGAAGTGTGATATATAATTTAAATCGAATCTTGCACTTAGGACAGGTCTTATACCTCCTTGTAAATAAACCTCTTCCTTTTCTGACAGAAGTATTCATTGCTTTGGGGGTATTACAAATATTGTAGCAGAGATGACAAGAAGAAGTGATAGGCTCATAACTTCAGTTTTAAAACAGTGATTTGAACTGAAAACAAAGAAAACAATCTTGAATCCCAAGACACTTGATTTGTAAGAAGTAGGCTTTTTGATAGACATGAGGTCTCTCAGCAGTAAAAGTTTGTTTTCCAGTGTCAAGAGAAAATCCCTGGAGGAATCAGGAAATAAAATCAATAGGTTCAGGAATATTTTTGGAAGAGAGAAGATGAGGAGCCAGATAATTCTTCCTAGGATTGCTTATAGGAAGATAAGAACTCGGAAGGAATCCCACATTCAGCCCTTGCCCTTTTCCTTTCCCCTTGGCCAGATGATAAACGTCAGCTGATGCTAGTAGGCTAACTGACAGTGACAACCTGAATGCAGAGGAAATGTGGAAATCATGGTGGTTTATAAAAAAATTATGAAAGTTTTTTTCACATCTCATATTTTTGATGGTGAAATAGTGTACGCTAATGTGTTAATGTATATGTAGAGATAACTGTTTACTAGTTTTTCTCATTAATAGGATGTCAGGAAATACTGTGGAAGACTTTGCTTTGAAAGGTACCCAAAATTGCTGGATATCCTGTCTAGTGTATCCTTCTAGATTATCTGTTTTCCTTGTCTTTAAGTGCATTTACAACTGAAAGTTATAGAAAAATGATATTAATGTAAGTGACTTTTGTCTGTAGAAATGCACATAGCTTTGATCAATTTTTTTTTTTTTGAGACTCAATCTTGCTCTTGTTGCCCAGGCTGGAGTGCAGTGGCGTGATCTCGGCTCACTGCAACCTCCATCTCCCAGGTTCAAGCAATTCTCCTGCCTCAGCCTCTTGAGTAGCTGGGATTACAGGTGCGCACCACCACACCCGGCTAATATTTTTACTTTTTTTAGTAAAGATGGGTTTTGACATGTTGGCCAGGCTGGTCTCAAACTCCTGACCTCAGGTGATCCGCCTGCCTCAGCCTCCCAAAGTGCTGGGATTACAGGCGTGAGCCACCGTGCCTGGCTGCTTTGATCAGTTTTTATTGTTCTGTCAATATGAACCAATTTTGAATCTATTCATACATTCATTTCAGTTTTTTTGATTGCCTATATGTGTGAGCTTTTTGAAATGTTTTTTGAACCGGTTGTAACATCTTACTGGTTCTCTCATTAATTAATGAGTTAAATAAATTTGTTGGCACATGCTAATTTTATATTAGTCTAAGATTAATGATTTTACCCTTAAAAATTATCTTGTAATGTCTGTTATTTTTTAAGTGAATGGGAAATTTCTGGAGATTTATTAACTGATTTTAAAATCTATCTATTATGATGAATATTTTAGACATCTACCCCAAACAGCAGAGGAAATAGTTTGTAGAACAACAAGTGGTAGTTACCTATCGCCACTCCTCAAATCATATTATATAGGTATTGTGTGTTTAGGGACAAGCTCCTTTCCCTTGGCTTTGTATTTACATATAGAGGTTTTCTGTGGGTAAACTGTCTTCTCCATTCCCTCACTCAGTCTTCACTAAGGGAGATAAAATAACTTATCTGATTGAGGATATTGGGAGAAAATCGGCAAAATTCAGAAGGAAGGTAGAGCAATCTCTTTATCCTGGTGCTCTTTAGAATCAGTTACTTTCATCTTGAAACCTAAAACGGAGGGGTTTACATTTATCTGCACTGTCAGCAAAGTTCACTGCACTAACAGACCCCAAGCCCTGTCCTCCGAGAGCTTTATGAGTCACAGAGCTGATATTTTTGAGTTCCATTGTTGCATCTATTTATCAAATGGTTTGGAAGTTGGGCAAGAAAAGGGGAAGTTATTTATTAGTCCCTCAAACCCAAGAAAAGGAACTACTCCATCAATCTTCCATACATGAATACTTAAATTACACTTTGAATACTTTAACACTAATTAATGAGATATGTTCCGGAAATGCCTTAGTAGAAATTGAAATGATTTTAGAATAAAGTTACAGGACAGAGCAAACTTGTGGAATAGAAATATCTGGCTAACTCTTTCAGCATTCAATTTTAGAAGCAAAAAGGATTTTAAATTTATATTACATCAGACATTTCTAAGTTTTTACTAGTCTGTGAATTATGTTATGGGTGAATCCAATGTCCTTGTGTACCTTCTGTAAGCAAAGAGACTTTGGCTCACTTTATAAGTTAATAAAATTAGGAAAGTTGCAGGTTTTTTTAATGTAGTTGTAATAGAAGAAGATTAAAAAAACCCAAGACTGAAGCCATGAAGATGTTCCAACGGTTTTATGACAGTACAACTTGTAAAAAGTAATTAGATGATTTTTTTCATGTAGTTTTTTTTTTTAAGATTTTATGTGAGACTTGCCTACTTAGTTCAATAAAACGTTTAGTAGGGAGTTGTTATATTTAAAACTACTGCATAAATAAGAATATTGGATGTACTTAATATCACTGATTTTGTAACAAAGTAAATTTATTTGAAAATTTGCAGTGTTAATTATTGATTCCATGAATCTCCGAAAAGACTACCAAAATAACCTATTGACAAAGCAAAGCAGAGTTATTTATTACCTCAGTAAGGGATGATCTGTCTTTGGGAGTCTTTGTAGCTTCTCAGAAGCTTCTGAGAAGCTTCTCTTTCTACCTTATTTCTCAGAATAAGGTAGAATGTTTCTGAGATTTGAGGGTTCTGATTTAGGATGCATCTTTCAATACAGGGTAGAGAGCTAATTAGGACTGAGGAAAATTTGTAACAAAATAGTTTCAAATTGGTGGACATAGTGAGGTGGGGTTTGCGAAGTAGTCTTGAAGAGTAGATTGATGAGCCTAGTCAAGCAATCCAATGTCCTGAGATGGGTATTTACTCTGACAAGGGATTGTTGAGTAGTCTATTATTGGAGCAAATGAATTTTTGGAAACTTTCTTTAAAAAGCAATGAAGTTATTTGCACTGTCTTCCTGGGCAAGAGTTTACTCAACTAGTAGTCTTGTTAGTGCAGGCAGTTGAATTGTAAAGTCATTTTAATGTAAACAATGTGCTATGTAATGGCAGATAATTTAGGTTCTGTATAGCAAGTTTTTTCAATGTAATTTTCAGTAACATTTAATATTTTGGGGTCATTTGTTGGCTTTTCAAGATATAAATAACCAACATTTATAAGGGAGGGTCAACTTAGAAAATATTGTTCAAATTTCATGGCTGAAATAAATGGAAGTAATGAAAAAATTGAACTTATTAAATAAGCCAGAATAATCCTAAAAAGATGAAATAGAGTTTATTTTTAGAAAAACAGAATTATTTTGCTAGTTATTTTACTTTGAAGTAATTTGTAGTTCAGTCTATGGTTTGTGATGTTTCCAGAAAAGGTAAGTCACTTTTATTGTAACTCCCTCAATAGCTAAAATCTTTATAGGCAGTAAACTTAATTCATGGTTTTTTTTTTTTTTTTTTTTTTTAGTTTTATTATTAGAAGTTAACATTAACTGGTGACATTATTAGTGCTTCTGTAAATTCAGAATTAGCATTTTGGCAAGCCATTTGTTTTTGGAAATGCATCAGCTAGTTCCATAATACCCATTGATTAATTTCTCTAAAATTATTACAATAACTTACTATTTCAGCATCATTTAGGTAGCTTTGGCATAAGAGTAGAAATTAAAAAACATTACATATCTGAGATAAATGAAACGGAATTTGTGATCCTTTGGGAAAGATTTGCCAATAGAATAACTTTAGCATTATTTTGAGCATTACACTAGGAATTTCACAGTAGTTGTGTCTGGCATGTGTTCACTGTCTCTTGTAGCCAAAAAGACAAGAATTTCTTTTTACAATTTGACATGAAAGTTCTCGTTCCTTTCCTCTCATTTTATTTAGTGGGCAGCACAAGAACCTAGATCTTCACTGCACTTTCTTTCTATTTTAAGTGGGAAAAATTGACATTTTTAGAGGTGACCAAATTTAATAATAAAAATATATACTGCATGTTATGCTGCTTGTTTAATATTTTAATATTCACTACTTTCTTTTATGGTTTCCTATTTCTACCTTTCAGATGCTAGGAATTATAATGGCATAAAAATAACCCTAGGGATTATATATATTGTTTCGGGTGTATATCAGAAGCTTTCTGGGGACTTGAGCTGAGTCTCAGTGTTGAGAAAGCAGTGGAATAATTCCTAAGCAAAATTCCATGTTACATTCTCTGAAGACACAGTGCAATGATTATGAAACCTCGGCTGGGTGTTGATAACCTTATGTGTCAGTCACCTCAGGATGGGACTATTTGTTCCCAAAGCAATCAGGTGCAATAAAATCTAAAGTACATAGATAGCTCTGGGAATGAACTGCCTGCAGAATTCAGATGCAGCAAATCTAGTAATAATCTTGGCCCTGGAACCTCAGATCAACCTAAAGTCCAGGGTCGTGGGATATGGGTCAAGAAGGGAGCTCACTATGCAAAGAAATGGATTCAGCCATCACATGGTTTGAATTTGCCAAAGGCATGATCAATCCATAAGGGCCATTCTATCACCAAGGCAAATGGGTGCGTTTTTCCGTGTTCTTTCCAGGCTTTTGTTATAAGGCAATGTTTTTCTTTTCAAGGCTAACCTTTGAATTAACCTTATATCAAGGTAGTATGATTTCACTTGGAGGGGAAAAGAGGGAGAGAGTGATGGAGAATGCACTGGGGGGAAAACATAGGGACATAACATATCAGACTCCCAACAGCTATTTTAGATGGCATTCATTTCTAGGAATGGCCTAGTCTTTAAGCTACTTTCAAATCAGATGTTCACCAACAGGATTGTCAATTTTTCCCCAAGTATCAAGTGTAGCAGTGTCCTGACATGAATTCTTATAATCAATGTCTGTTCATTCAGCTAGTATTTATCGGGCACACATCATGTATCAGGTGCTAGGGACAAAATGATTCTTAACCCCATGGTGTTATATTCTTGATGGGAAAAATGATACTGAACTCATGTAATAGGGCTGACATGCTTCCACAACTGATAATGTGGAATCTGAAAAAAATTAGCAAGAAAGACTGCAGTTTGATGGTTGCCTGCCAGTTTACATCTAGCAGTGGCAATCTCAAGTTCCTTCCCAAGGTTTTTGTTATGGAGAAAATGTAAATTTTTGGTTATAAAAAAATAATGAGAGTAGATACTTATCATTCTGTGAGAAAGGTAGAAAAATATACTCACTTTTGGTTTGAAAGGCCATCTCTCATATCTTGGTATATAGTACCAAAGTTACTGGGAATTTGCATACAGGTCTAAGAAGCTTCAGGGAAGGAAAAGAATCAGGAACCACAGGCTTTCTCTTCTGAGAATCACAATCCTGGAGCCTCTCAAAGGAATCAAGATAGCTCTAACTTGAATGGCTTGTGTAACAGCAGTGTTGGGAGAACCACAGTCCTGCTCCCCTGGGATACAACTACAACTGGTCAAAATAATTGCAAAAATAATTAAAGTAACTGGAGATGGTATAAAGAAGATACAAATGTGTCTTCATACAGAAAATGAAGATACATTTGTTCAAGAAAATTTACTATCTTAGAAGGCACAGTGAGAGTCTGTGGCACTTGAGATATGACCTGTTCCCTTTTCTTCCTCTCCCCCAGCTCATTGTGTCAGAAGGTCCCCTCTGGGTGAGTGTGGTGAGTGTAGTCAAAAAGACAAGACTTTCTTGATGTCTCTCCTCCCCCAGCTCCCAGTCAAGGACTTAGTATCTTCTCCAGGAGGGTCAGGCCATCAGCATTTTCATGTGGCTGAGAGGTTGGAGGCTAACATTCCCCAATCCAGCTCATGGGGTGGAAGTTCTAAACCAGGCATGGCAAGGTGGGGCTCCTTTGTCCTTGGCTCAGCTTATTCATAGGGTAGAGGATCTACACTAGGAGAGAGGAGAGTCAAGCTGAAAAGACCAGAGACTACAGTCCTTGCTTAATTCCCTAATCACAAAGCATGGGTATCATTTTGGAGCAGCAGGCACTAACCCTACCTTCAGCTCTGGTGGTTCAGAGATTTTGCCTAGGTAGAGAAGCAGGTTATAGGAACTGAGAGCACTAACAATCTTCCCAATGGAACTGATTTATTTATGACAGAGTATGAGAAAGTTCAGGCCTACAGGAGTTCTTAAAAACAATGAAGATTTTGGTAGTAAGCAATTAAGAAGAAGCTGATAGCTTTATGAAAGCAACAAGATAAACTATAGGTTAGCTACTTTATCAGAAGGAATCAGAGAAAAAGACAAATAAGAAGAGCTTTCCTGAGGTGAGAACAAACCTCAAAGTCTGGCCTCAATACTGACTTTACAAAACGGCTTGAATTTAATTGGATCAGACTGTGGAGACATGTATGCCCCAGCATGTAGTCTAAACAACAAAGCAACAGTCAGCACTTAGTGGAGCCTAACAGTTGAGTTTGATACCAACAGAGGCAAACATCTTAACAAAGGAATCAGAGGGAAAGACAGTCAAAAAGAGACTGGCTAAAACTACTGTCATCTCAAGGTGACTGTGCCATGCCCAAGGCACTGCCCTCCGAGGATCAGTGTCTGAGGCTTCATGTTGTAGGGAAAATAGACTTCACTAAAATAGTATAGTCACATTAATAAGCAAATAAATAAGCAAACAACAACAACAATAATAAGCCCTGGGGAGATCAGGACCCAGATTTGCTATACTGTATTACCTGAAATACCCATACATAGGAAAAAAGTAAGCAACAGCAACTGTCTGTGAGAAGGTTCAGATGTTGAACTTAACAGACAAAAACTTCAAAGCAGTTATTATAAAAATGGTCAAAAACTAAAGGAAATCATGCTTAAAAATGTAAAGGAAGATATGGTGGCAATGTCTCATCAAATGGAGAATATCAATAAAAGGAAATTTTTTTAAAGAACCAAATGGAAACTTTGGAGTTGAAAAGTACAATAACTAAAATGAAAACGTCATTAGAGTGGCTTCATGGTAGATTTGAACTGGCGAAAGAAAGAATCATCTACCTTGAAGACAGATCAATCGAAATTATTTAATCTAAATAACAGATAAAAATAATAAGAAATATGAACAGAGTCTCAGAGAAATGTGAGGCACTGTTAAGCACACCAACACACATGTAATAGAAATAATGGACAGAAAAAGCAGAAAAAAGTCAAAAAGAAATAATGGCTGAAATGTAAGGAGTGAACACATGGACTCCTGAGGGAAAAGTTACCATGAGGGAGTCACAGACCTGGACTGACATTCTGAACTCAAAACCAAGCCCTGTGTTGTCTTGGGAAGACTAGCCCTAGGTCCAGTGTAATTGATGCAGGCAATCCTTCTGACTTAGCTACCAATGGTAGTGACTGACTCACTTCCTAGAAGTGACTGACTCACTTCCTAGAAGTGACTGACTCACTTCTAGAGAAATGACATGAAAAAGAGAGGTGAATGGTTGTGGGGAAGTGGGGAAGAAAGTGGGGAAGGCTGGTGCATTTGTGCCTCCATTAAGGACAGAGAGAATGTGTATAATTTATTTGAGACAAAATGGTGCATTGCTTAAGTGTAGAAAGTAAAGGGCGAGAGAGAACCAAGTGAGGCAGGGGTTAAGCTGGGGTGACTCCATGCTGGCATTGTAAGCCATGGGACTTACTTTGAAAAACTTTTCATTTTGAGGCCAGATGCAGTGGCTCATGCCTATAATCCCAACACTTTTGGAGGCCAAGGTGGGTGGACCACTTGAACCCAGGTGTTTGAGACCAGCCTGGGCAATACGGCGAAACCTTGTCTCAACAAAAAATACAAAAATTAGTTGGGCTTGGTGGGTCATGCCTGTGGTCCCAGCTACTTGGGAGGCTGGGGTGGGAGGATCACCTGAGCCTGGGAGGTTGAGGTTGCAGTGAGCTGTGGTCACACTGTTGCACTCCAGTCTGAGTGACAGAGTGAGATCTTGTCTCAAAAAAATAAAAATAAAAATAAATTTTACAAAGCCTTTTCACTTTGAGATAATTGTAGATTCACGTGCATTTGTGAGAAACAATACAGAGAGAAGCTATGTATCCTTTTCCCAGTTTACCCCAATGGTAACATCTTGCAAAACTACAATTTTGCAATCAGATATTAACATTGATTTATTCAAGATAAAGAACATTTTTGGCCAGTCATGGTGGCTCATAACTGTAATCCCAACGCTTTGGGAGCCTGACTGGGGGAAGATCACTTAAGGGCAGGAGTTCGAGACCAACATGGGCAACATTGTGAAATTCCCTCTCTACAAAAAATTTTTAAAAATTAGGTGAGTGTGGTTGCTCTCACGTGTAGTCCCAGAGACTCAGGAGGCTGAGGAGGGGTGATTGGTTGACCTCATGAGTTTGAGGCTAAAGTGAGTTATGATTGCACCACTGCACTCCAGTTTAGATGACAGAATGAGACCCCAACTCAAAAAAAGAAAACAAAAAGATACAGAACATTTTTGTCACCAGAAAGATTCCTCATGTTGCCCTTTTATAGCCACACCCACTTTTTTCTTGCTCCCATCTCTTTCTTACCCCCAGGCAAACACCAATTTATGCTCTATTTCTATAAAAGCAAAGGCAAGTCATTGCATGGTGAAATGGTATAATTTGAAGAGCAATTAATTGTTCATGGTAGATGTATTGCTGTAGTTAGGAAATTCAAAGAAGTCTTATGTAATTGGATCAATACTAGTATTAGAATGTCAATAATATTGATATTCAGCTATGAGGAAATTAGAAATTTTGAGCAAACAACTGATAAAGAAGTCAACAAATGAACCGAATAGCAAAACTGATCAGCCAGTTAAAGCTTAGTCGGCTAGATTAGATATTCAAGAACCTACTCCAGAAGGTATCAGGAGGGGTAACAAATATGGAAAAAATGAATGAAGATTGTATTACCATTTAGAAAATTTATGAGAACAAGCAGGCTTTTTCTGCATGTGAATGTCCTTGGACTTAGCCAGTCAGACTTTGAGAGACTGGAATAATAAGCAGTTTCTGTGGGTTTGCAACATATTCCGTGAGAAGGGAAGTAAGATGGGTAAGTGCCCCTTGGCTTGAAACAAGATGTAGATGCTAAGCAGCTGAGGAAGAAAAGTGCCATAAAAAGATTAGGTTAAAACAAAATATAAACTTGACTTGTTTAACATTTTTTCCTATGAACATGCTTATTTCAAGACATTGCTAAGAAGTGGGGAGAGAATATGGATCATTAGTTTTCAGCCTCGGCTGCATGTAAAATCATCTGAGGAGATTTAAAAATGATCAGTGCCTCAGTCTCACCTTCAGAGACTATGATTTAATTGGTTTGGATATGGTCTAGGCATTAGGATTTTATCAGCTCACCAAGTGATGCTGATGGACAGCCAAAATTGACACATACTGGTGAGATGTAGATCTGTTCAATAGTATAAGATTGATGGTTTATGCATTTGTATATTACGATTCTTTTCTTTCAAAAGAACTTGAGTTCATGTAAATAAATTAGTGTACAAATAAAACAACTAAAATTAAAACAAAACAAATTTACAACATCCATAGAAATGGTTCTGAAATCTCCCTCTACATTTGCATCACCTTGGAGATCATTTGAAATATTCCAGTTCCTTGGCCCCACCCTTAGATCTGGGCTGGACACTATCTCAGACATCAGGTATTTTTAAACAGAAGTTTCTAACTTGCAGCTAGGGTTATAACTGTTGAAGCAAGCTGCGGTATTGAAATAGATGCTAGCAAGCACCTGAAATAAATGTATTACCTCATTAGGACGTTAAATTGAGTTCAAAATTCCTGGCCACTAATGCAAAAAGAAAAGAAAAAAAAGTTACATAGCTTCCAATTGATGAATGAAGAAGCATACCAAGCTCTTCTTTAGAGATTATGTATTTCTGGAATGAAATTTTCAATGAAACTTTTCTAGGTTGACAGTAATGTAAGGGCATGAGTAGTGACTCGTGGCTTTAGCCAAAGCCTTGCAAAAGACTCCAGCACACTATTCAAATGAATACTTCTTGTAGAGACCTATTATGAAGACAGAGGCTATATACTTAAAATGGGTCAGAGAAGACATTTTTAGTCAGCTAAAGAAATGAAGAGACCTGAGAGAAGATCTTTTATTATTAACCAATTTTAGGTATAACTCAGTTACCCCAGTAGAATTAGTTTCCATGTCCAGCTCATGTAACAAAGTGGCCAAGTATACTCCTGAGACCTGATTTGCACAGGTACTCCAGTGTTCCATGAAGAGATCATTATAAAGATCTATCTGAACTTTGGCCAAGTTTCTCAATTACTTGAAATTCATCCACTGCCTGGGGAATGCTGTTGAAAGTGGAGCAAGCAACTTTAAGGGAAAAGGCTACCTCTGAGACAAAAGAAATAAGGACCTGAGTCCTGCTTTAGGACATAAAGAAAAAGGAGCTGAATGGACTTCCACAAGTGTGATACATACTGGGAGACATGTGCCTCAGGACATATGGCTCTCGTTGTAACCAATATAGAGTATCTGCTCTATAGGTACCAGAAAGAGAATTCATTCATGGAATAACTTCCATCCGCATGTGATAAGGATACCAAATATCTGAGGGTTGAGAAAGAATTTATCAAACAAATTTACTTTGGCATTATTTAATTCCTCAAATTCTGTCTTTACATAGTTTTCTTGGTGTAACTCTGGTTACCTAGTTACTGTTGTGTCTCTGTTAATTGGTTCAAGAGCCCTTCTAAATTTCTGAGTACCTTGTCCCACTGAAATTTATGGTAAGAAACTGTTAGATCCTCTTAATGAAAAATTAGAAAAATTAATCAATGATTTCCTTTTCTGTGGGGGTTGGTATTGTGAATCCTCAGATTTTTAGTTAAAAGTTTGTCAATGGCAAGTTACTTAACTCCTTTGTGCCTCATTTAGCTCATCTACAAAGTGAGAATAATACTTGTAAAAGCTGATAAGTTTGTTTTAAAAATTAAATGAGATAATGCTTGCCAAGGGCTTTGCATAATTCCTGACATGAAGTAATCACTCAATAAAAACTGGCTATTAAATATTTTGTGATCATGATAATTGTCTTCATCACTGCCATCATATCATCATCATCATCATCATCCTGGAGTGAAATACAACAATGGGTAGGCAAGACAAAAGATAAATAGGACACCTATTTTTGGACTAAAAGATTGAAGGGTTGGGTTGAGGAGAAAAGCATTTTTTACTAAGATAAATATAAATATATTAGAAAATAAATTTCAAAAATTACTTGGATTTTTAAGCTGAAATATGAGACATCAAAAAAATTGTGCTTGCAAAATTTCCTAAATCTATGCAACTTCACGTTAAACCTCAAATCCTTGGAGGTCACACATCCTCTTTCCTCTGCCATCAGTGGAATTTTTCTGGAAATTTTGGGAAGTGTCCTGATACAGCAACCCGAGTATAAATTGCATCTTAAATAGATTCTTTCACCAGAAGAGACATGCACCACTGTAATTCCCACTGGGACAGATACTGCACTGTGAGTTCTCAGTAATAATGATGTTGATGTAGTACTTGAGGAGACAGCTGAGGAACCAGGGCACGCATGGAAAACCCTGTGTATTAACAAGAACTGCTGCAGCGAGACGACTGCTGACACTCTTCCTCAGAACAGCTGGAAGAAACCACCAAGCCCTGGTGCTAACCTCAAGGGCTGCTACTGCCGACCTGCTGACCAGAGCTGCCAGTGGAAGCATGATGGGGTTAATCCTGCCGATGGGGTTAATGCTGAGAGATGGTCCTTCCAGGGTTCTCCACACCTCTCTATTGCCTCAGTATGAGTCACCTGAAGGAAGAAATGAGTATGTGTGTGTGTGTGTGTATGTGTGCACGCGCACGCATGTTCAAAACAGGGGACTAGGGAAAATTTAAAATCAGATCGGGATTTGTGGGAAGTGATGTTTTTCCTTCATCAACACTGAGGACAGAGACTGACATTGCTTGTGGTGCATTCCAGTGGGACTGGATGCCTGGAATTTAGGGTGGATGCTTGAATCAAATTAAAGAGACCCAGCAGTAAGTAGGCAACCAGAGTGTTGGTGTTGAAGGCAAGAGGGCTCCTAAGGAAGAACATGCCAGACTTAGGTGTCTCCTAGATTCTTTCTCAACTCTCAACTCAAGTATTTGGAACCTTTACCTAATGCTAGATGGAATTGAAGTCTTTTTCTGATTTTGGCAGAGCAGGTATTTTGTGTTGATTTCAAGGACAGCCGTATTGAGTGGATGCCAAATTTAAACTTTTAGTTGTGATCCACCGGAGAATCAATTTCTGCTGTGCTTGAGTAGAAGTGGAGCCTACAGGTGGAGCCAGGATTTTCCTCAGAGGTTTGCACTTCTCAGGCACTAACTCACGTTTGATATAGTCTTTTGAAGCACTGAAGTAGCAGACATCTGCCCATAGGACTTGTGTCCCCTCTTTGAACCCTATGATTTTAACCAGTTTACATTTTAGTTGTTCAAGGGCATGATTATATGAATTATATGAATACCTGTTATATGAACATATATAAGCATTTAAGTTGCATTTTTCCACTTATATTTGCAATAAAGAGTCTAGTAATGAAGAGGCTAAAACCATGTTTTATAGCAATGAACACAGTTACATGAACTGGATTAAAGTTTTATGATTTTTTAAAACCTGAATTGAAAGGAAATTAAAGTCCATAAAATACCATGAAGACAAATTCTGATTTTCATTGAACTTTTCTGTTTTAGCTCAAAAGAATTTGAATAATATCCTGTTATAACCAAGGATTGCAATGAATGTCTATAAGGAGATAGGTAAATGACGTTGGTTCAAGTCTACTTAAGGTGACTGGACAAAATATGAACCTCTGTAGCCTAAAGCCGAAAGTGTGAGTCTCCTAATATGAAATACATAAATCTAATAATTTTATCCAAAATCAGAATACATACGAACTTGAGAGGAAAAGAGCAAATATCATTTTATTGTGAAGTGGATATTGCAAGGAAATGTGTGTTTACCTCGTTTTCAGCAGCATTGCCTAGTGAGTCACTGCCATGAGCAGCCTGCCAACTCTTTCCTCTGGTATCATTCTTCTTTTTATATTTTATATTTAATGCAGGCTAGTCAAACAGATTACAGTTTTCTTTCTTTAAATGAAAGCTGTTCTGACAACTTAGTCATGCTAAGTAATAGGATATGAATTCTTAAACCAATGACATTGATATTTATCATTGCATATACCAAGTCGAAAAACATACATTGATTACGGAGTGGAGGATGAACTTGAAGTCAAGCTGTTGCAAAAGAGGACTCAGATAAAATTTGCACTTACTCAAAATGTACTTCAAAATGTTTTTCATTTTAAAAGTATGATTTAAAAAATTTCCATGAGAGTGTACACACTTATCTTTTTTTAGGGGGTGGAGTAGGTACATGTATATGGTTATCCAATTTATCTCTTCATTCAGAATGTTGATAGTTGTTCGTGGGAATTGTTCTTTTACAAATATTGGAAAAACATAATTTCAGGGATCTATATATAATGCCGTCATATAAGCTATCATTCTGCAGTTGCTTTTAGCTTGTTTAGGATTTGGCCCTTATATTAGTCAATGTCTCCTGAGTATATTCCGTTTGAAAAATTTTCCATAACATAGAACCCATGAAGACTTTCTTTCCTGATGAAATCTTAAGATTTTGTTTGTTTTTTTAGTACTAAAAAATGACATACCAACAACATATAAGTTAGGCAGCTTGTAACCAATTACATCATTCATAGAAAAGATATAGCTCTGGATTTTTTTATTTTCTTAAGGTTTTTGATAGTTTTTTATTTCTAAATTATGGACTTCTTTAGCTTACATTTGTGTGTGTATGTGTGTGTGTGTGTGTGTGGACTACCTCAAATCTCATGTGGAAATAAAGTTGGTCTAAGTATAATATCCATAACTATTTCAGGGTCTATGCCAGGCGTGGCTGGTTTATACCAAATTTTTGACTATAGCTGTGCTAGTCACAGTAAAGCTCTAGTGTTTGTGCAAATAAATGAGTATAGACAGGAATAAGGCTTTTTAATATTTGCTCTTGTCAAAAAAGTTTTTTGGATAATTAGGCTGGCCAGGTCACGCTCTGTCAGAATTTATTCTCTATAAAAATTCCATAAACTCATCTATGCTAATAATATATTCTATTCTTCCTGACAGTGGTGCTTTTTAGCAAGAACATTCTGGAGATATTAATAATAACTATATTAAAAAACATAATCTCAGTATAAAAATCTCTAGCACTTTGCAGACTAGTAAATGGGATATTTTAGGACTTATGGGGCCTTAAGTCTAAAGTTATCTCTATCAGCAGTTTTCTCTCAGATAGTTTATTTGATGACTTAATTAAATGAGTCTTCGGAGGTCCATAGCAATGCAGATGATTCCTGTTTATGACAATGCAAATGAATTTTGTCTGGTGGAAAGAATAAATCTCTGTAAGTCTAATTCTTATTTGAATGGGTTTTAACATCTTTAACTCCTACTGGGTATTCTTTGCTATGTGAGATACCTCACATTCAATCTCAACCCCTAGCTCCTAGAATTACTGTGAATGTTTGGAAAGCTAGTCTGAAAGTAGTTGAGAACAATTGTAAATCAACAAGTAGAGATTGGAGCAGATGGAGGATCAGACAAACTTCTTCTGATAGACATCTTATTGCCTATATGCTTTGTTTGTTGAATCTCCTGTAAAAGTGAACAATCTGAAAAGTCAGCCTTGTGAGAGAGGAGAGTGATACTATCTGCCAGGCAAACTTGAAAAGAGAATAAACAGCACATTCCTCTTCATTAAAGTACGTCACACTGCTGACTTTTTGCATGTAAGAGTTTACGAAAGAAAATCTGGAGCCACTAAAGGCTACTTACTCAACCAATACCTTGTAACCATAACATTCAGCTTTTTGGAAGAAAGACAGAAGCCAGGATACAAATACTTTAAATTTTCCAAAGTCTCTCTAAAGAGCAGGTACACCAGTCAGTCCTGAAGGAAATGAATGATTTTTTGTCAGTTTGTAAGTGTATAACTCAGGTTTTAAAAACTGAGTTTCAAATTTTATAAGCACGAAAATGCCATGTGTCTAGTTGTATTAGAAAAGAGGTTAGGTGGACTGCCTCAATATTAGAGATTTCTCATTTTTGTCAAAAGTCTCCTAGGATAAAAGAAAAATCCTGGGAAAATAGTTACTGTGTTTAAAGAAAAATAAAAAAGAATAAAAGCATATTAATAGGCTCTTTGTCAAAATCAGTTCTGATTACTTGCCCTTTTGTTTGAGAATAAATAATTAAAAATATTTTAGAGAGAGTTGTTAGATAAGATATTGGAGAGAAAATTCAGGGCAGATACTTCCAGACCAGTTAGACTGACTTAATGAAAGTCCTTAGCACATGAAAAGTTTTGGAAAAAGTGTATTCCAAAGTCCTGATGATAAAAGGGTCTATGTAGATATCTCCTTCCTTAGTCATAAGGCATCGGCTCTGTTGTTTTATATGATTTAGAGAAACTTTTGATGGCAGAACATAACATAATGACATGTAGATAGATAAAAAGCAGAACTTTTTGCTACATACAACTCTGAAGGAGAGAAGGCTGCTAGATGGGGCCATACGTGTATTGCTCTAGGGGACAGGCAAGCTGGAGCTGTTGGGGACAGCTTATGTATGGCAAAGGGGTGGGATTATCTAGGTTTCTGGGCTCCCTGTGGTTTGGCTAATTTGAGTAATTTTAGGCTGTGAGGCATATAGGGTGATATGGTTTGGCTGTGTCCCCACTTGAATCTCACCTTGGATTGTAATTATCCCCACATGTGAAGAGCAGGGCCAGGTGGAGATATTTGAATCATGGGGGCAGTTTCCCCCATACTGTTCTTGTGGTTGTGAGCAAGTCTCACGAGATCTAATGGTTTTGTAAAGGGGAGTTTCCCTGCACAAGCTCTTTTGCCTGCCACCAAAGACATGACTTTGCTCCTCATTCACCTTCAGCCATGACTGTGATGCCTCCCCAACTGTGAGTCAATTAAACCTCTTTCCTTAATAAATTACCCAGTCTCGGGTATGCCTTTATTAGCAGCCTGAGAACAGACTAATACATAGGGACCATTCCTAATTGTGTGGTACTTGGCCCTGGGGTGATTAGGGCTCTTGTGTGACAGCTGGACAAGGGACGTGGTTGGGGTATGGACTTAATTGGCTTTTACTTAGGGCCGGAAAACTAGGCCAACACAGAATGAACAAACAAACAAAAATGCAGTTTTACACTGTGCCCAGCATTGTGATGGGGCTTGGCAGAGTTTATGGTGTATAGATGTGTGAGAAGACTCACTACTATTCAAGAAGCTTCAGAACAGGTCTGATTTCTGGCAGGACAAAATTCCCATTTACACACAACCGTTATGCAGGGTGCTCAATAAAGAGAAAGTAAGGTATTGATCTTACCTTGGACTCTGCATGAAAAATTCTGCATGAAGAATCTTTTGATAGCAAAATATTTGCTTTTTCTAGCCTGTTACCTTAAAGTTGATTTAAGCCTGACTTGGATCACTGGTGACATTCTGGAGTTTCTGCATGCTGTACCTATCTGCAGACTTTACTCATTCTTTGTCAATGTTTACTTCTTTGTTTAAAAGCAGGTTTATTGTGGTCTAATTTACATAGCATAAAATTTATCTGACTTAAATATACAATTTAATTACTTTTAGTAAATTTACAAAATTTTGCAATCATTGTCATGATCCATTTTTAGAACATTCTCATCACCCCAGAAAGAATTCTGTGTCCATTTGACATCAACCTTAGGTGACCAACCACTGACTCACTCATTGTCTGAACTGATTTGCCTTTTGTAGATTTCATATCTGGCTTTGTATCTGAATTTTGTATCTGGCTTTGATGTAGCATAATGTTTTTGAGCTTCATTTATGGTATTCGATTTATCAGTAACTTATTCTCTTCTGTTGATGAATAAAATTTTGTTGTATGGATATATCATATTTTGTTTATCCATTCACCAACTGGTAGAAATATGGGGTGTTTCTAGTTTTGGGGTATTATGAGCAAGGTTGCCATAAACAAAGCTTGTGTACAATTATTTATGTGAGCATATGTATTCATTTCTCTTGAGTAGAAACCTAGGAGTAGAATTACTTGGTCATGATATACATTTATGTGCAACTTTTAAAGAAACTGTCAAACTCTTTTCCCAAGTGTTTACACCATTTTACACTCCCACCAGCAATATATGAAGGTTCTAACTTCACATCTTCATCCACATTTGTTATTGTCTAATTTTTTATTATAGCCATTCTAGTGGGTGTGCATGAGCATTTACTCACAAGTATTAACTTGAGAGTGTGTTTGCAATGTATCTTTACTCCAGAAGTCTTTTCTATTTCCTGAAATAAAAATATTACCACTTATCTTGTTTCCCAACCTCACAAGAAGCCATTTTGTCCCTTAGGATTCAGGGATCTGGGAAATGAGATTGTGCCTATGCTCTTTCCATTTAGTGTCCCAGGACAACTGAGGGGCATTTTCCTATTGATTCCTTGGGTCTAGCTAGAAGGTCATCAATAGGTCATATGATAGAGGGAAAGTGGGTGCTTTTTTCAAGCTTCATCTTTGGTAAATGATTCCATGGTGATAACTAACTGAGAGTTGGTCATGTTTGCCCTGCTGCCCTTAGTTGTCAGTACATAGCCAAAATACTTTGGAAAGGTCGATGGTACACCTAGTCCATATTGTTTGTGTTTCAAATGAATTTTTTTTAAATGGGAAAGCAGGTTGTTGTAATGAAATGAATTTGGGGTTGGAAGTCAGAATGCTTGGGTTATTGTGCATATTCAATCACTAATCGCAAGATCTTGACCAGGTCTGGGACTTAGTTGCCTTATCCATAGAATAAAATGGGAATGGTAAAATAACCGAATAATTTCATACTTTGTTTAGTAGAAGAAATATTTTACCTAGAACCCCAATAAAATGATCAGAAATAAGAGGATATGCTCTGATTGAAATGGGATGGAAGCCAAGCTCCTAAGGTTTTGTTTTCTCCTGATGGTGATTTCCCTCTTTTGTGGTTAATACAGTTACACATTCCTCAGAATCTGTATTAAGGAAATCACTGACTGTATTACCTCCAAAATCCCCATTCAGCAACAGAGAATCTATCAGTAAATAGTTTTTTTAATTTTTATTTATTTATTTTTTTTTTATTTTATTATTATTATACTTTAAGTTTTAGGGTACATGTGCACAATGTGCAGGTTAGTTACATATGTATACATGTGCCATGCTGGTGTGCTACACCCATTAACTCGTCATTTAGCATTAGGTATATCTCCTAATGCTGTCCCTCCCCGCTCCCCTCACCCCACAACAGTCCACAGAGTGTGATGTTCCCCTTCCTGTGTCCATGTGTTCTCATTGTTCAATTCCCACCTATGAGTGAGAATATGCAGTGTTTGGTTTTTTGTTCTTGCGACAGTTTACTGAGAATGATGACTTCCAATTTCATCCATGTCCCTACAAAGACATGAACTCATCATTTTTTATGGCTGCATAGTATTCCATGGTGTATATGTGCCACATTTTCTTAATCCAGTCTATCATTGTTGGACATTTGGGTTGGTTCCAAGTCTTTGCTATTGTGAATAGTGCCGCAATAAACATACGTGTGCATGTGTCTTTATAGCAGCATGATTTATAGTCCTTTGGGTATATACCCAGTAATGGGATGGCTGGGTCAAATGGTATTTCTAGTTCTAGATCCCTGAGGAATTGCCACACTGACTTCCACAATGGTTGAACTAGTTTACAGTACGACCAACAGTGTAAAAGTGTTCCAATTTCTCCACATCCTCTCCAGCACCTGTTGTTTCCTGACTTTTTAATGATTGCCATTCTAACTGGTGTGAGATGGTATCTCATTGTGGTTTTGATTTGCATTTCTCTGATGGCCAGTGATGGTGAGCATTTTTTCATGTGTTTTTTGGCTGCATAAATGTCTTCTTTTGAGAAGTGTCTGTTCATGTCCTTCACCCACTTTTTGATGAGGTTGTTTGTTTTTTTCTTGTAAATTTGTTTGAGTTCATTGTAGATTCTGGATATTAGCCCTTTGTCAGATGAGTAGGTTGCGAAAATTTTCTCCCATGTTGTAGGTTGCCTGTTCACTCTGATGGTAGTTTCTTTTGCTGTGCAGAAGCTCTTTAGTTTAATTAGATCCCATTTGTCAATTTTGGCTTTTGTTGCCATTGCTTTTGGTGTTTTAGACATGAAGTCCTTGCCCATTCCTATGTCCTGAATGGTAATGCCTAAGTTTTCTTCTAGGGTTTTTATGGTTTTAGGTCTAACGTTTAAGTCTTTAATCCATCTTGAATTAATTTTTGTATAAGGTGTAAGGAAGGGATCCAGTTTCAGCTTTCTACATATGGCTAGCCAGTAAATAGTTTTGTTCAAACTAGGAAGGTTTTCTTCTTTTTCATTGCATGGATTTTGCCATTGTTATTAAATAGTTGGCATTAGGAAAACTCAAAACAAATGAATAGTATTTTAAATAAAATTTATAAAGAACCTAAGTGTTACTAATAATCCAAGGATTTTTGTAAGTCAGAGATTATACCATAAAGAATTGAGAGTTTTTTTGTTTGTGTGTTTATTTCTTTGAGGCAGAGTCTTGCTCTGTCGCCCAGGCTGGAGTGCAATGGCCTGATCTCGCTCACTGCAAGCTCTGCCTTCTGGGTTCATGCCATTATCCTGCCTCAGCCTCCCAAGTAGCTGGGATTATAGGCACCCGCCACCACACCCAGCTAATTTTTTGTATTTTTAGTAGAGATGGGGTTTCACCGTGTTAGCCAGGATGGTCTTGATCTCCTGACCTCATGATCCACCCGCCTCGGCCTTCCAAAGTGCTGGGATTACAGGCATGAGCCACTGCGCCCGGCCAGAATTGAGATTTTTTCTTTTTTTTTTTTAAACTCAATTTAAGATAAAAATGCCTATAGGTTTTATAATAAAATCTTTCAGGAGGAGCCATTCTTATCATATTCTCATTATGAGTGGACTTCTTTTATATATTCACCAACCTTTGCGACATATAGTATATACCTATCACTGAACCAGATACTGTGGAGTCTGTCAAATACATATTTTTTTTTATATATAGGAATAATTGTCTTACAATACTCTAGTGAGATTAGCTGGGAAAGACTCAATAGATGTCAAGGTGAGATTTTTCAGAACTCTGATGATTCTTCTTTATTTTTTGTGATGAAATGAGCTCTGTCTGTTAACAGTCATTTACCCTGGGACATACTTTGAATAACCTAGAGCATCTGATAATATCATGGGTAAAATAAGAATGTAAAGGTATCCATGCTTTCCCATAGGGAAATTGGTATAAATAAACAAAAAGCTGTTAGGATTAGGATAAAAGGTGAACAAGCAGAATATGATCAAAGGATTTTATAAGTGTTGAGAAATTAGCCCAGAAATTACTTGAAGTAACTTTTGTAGTCTCAAAAGTTGAAATTTAACCTTCCTGCCTATTAGTACACTTTGATTATCTATAGAACACCAGTTAAACTCTAAAGAATGGTAGAATGGCATTTTTACCCTAAACATACATTTCTATTTTCTTTTAAAGAAAAATGGAGAGAAGTAAATTCTAGAGAAGAGATATAATACTTTTTTACTCTTTCTTATATTTTTACTCTTATATTCCTAGGATTTTGGCAGGTACCTAAAAGAAGTAGAGAATTCAAATTGCATTCAAAATGTACATTGTGTCCAATGATATATAAAAAAAGTGTGTGTCTCTGTTTCTGTCTTATAAATTTGTAATAAATTTTTTATACCTCACATACCTTATGAAGATGCCATTAATTCTTTGAATTACAGAAAAGATTGATTTAAGTAGAGCTTAATGTTATATAAATTGTTTTTAAATGATGTTGTTTATTACTGAGACAACTTACTTCTTAGATCTGAAGTTATTCAGAGGCTTAAAATAGCAATAAAAGGATAGAGAGTTTATCCTTGAACAACCCTGGGTTAGAGGCACAGACCTCTCGCTCAGTTGAAAATCCACATGTAACTTTTGACTTCTCCAAAACTTAACCAATAATAGCCCACTGTTGATTAGAAGCCTTACTGATAAACAGTTGTTGAAACCATGTTTTGTATGTTATATGTATTATATACTGTATTCTTACAATAAAGTAAGCTAGAAAAAAGAAAATGTTATTAAGAAAATCATAAGAAAGAGAAAATATATTTACTATTCAATAAGTGGAAGTGGATCATCATAAAGATCTTCATTCTCATCATCTTCATATAGAATAGGCTTAAGAGAGGAGGAAGAGGGGGCTTGGTCTTACTGTTTCTGGGATGACAGAGGACAAAAATTAATCTGCATACAAGTAGACCTGTGCAGTTCAAACCCATGTTGTTCAGGGATCAATGGTTTTTTTTTTTTTTTTCAGTTGGCAGTTTTAAAGTTGTTATTATGCAATGTTCAGGAAGCAGATATACTCATGTTTACTTGTTCAGTTGAAAAACATTACCAGGAAAAAATAAAATAACTTTTCCTGTTTCCGAGTCTTTGCTGTCTCATACCTTTCAAAGGGACCAGGACACTTATCCATATTCCAATGTCAAAATGCAAAGAAACAGGAAAATTTAGTTTCATCATTTTACATTTCTTTGATGCACTTGAAAATGCAGATTTTTTTTTCACTATGTAGTCTATTGTCTTCTTACTTTTTGATTTAAAGAATGTAGAATAATATGATATGCCATGTGGGTGTCACGTTGCAACTTTTCAGTTAAATAGGTTGTGAAAAAATCTGTTTATTCATCTAGGAAATTACCAGAAATAGTAGTTCCCAAGCAGGAGACAGTAGAACCTACTGGAGAGAACATAGGAGAGGCATTGGAGAGACCTGTGCACTCATTCTGGCTCTGTGGCCAATCGCTCATGTAATCTTGGGTAACAACACTCAACAACTCTTGGCCTGGAACACAATAAGTACATAATAAACACTTGGTGAATGAATGGATTAACTCAATCAATATTTATTGTGTATCTACTCTGTTTCAGGCACTGTTCCAGGTTCTAGGGTTAGAGCAGTGAACCAAAGATTCATAGTCCTTGCCTTCATAAAGCTGAGATTCTAGCTGAAGAAGATAGACAACAAAATAAGCAAATCAATTATGTGGCAGATCTGATAAACATTGTTACAGAGAAAAATAAAACCAGGAAAGGCAGGTAGAAAATACCAAGCAGGGAGTGGTTGCTATTTCATATAGGGTAGTCTGGAAGAGTTGACTTTTAAGTAGATGGCCACACTGGGAGAATTGTCTCATTTGTCATGCCAAACAGTGCTGTGTGCCCTGGTATCCACAGACAATTGTAAGACTTAGGTGATTTGAGGACACTTGGGCATTCAGCACTGTTTGGCATGCCAAATGAGACAACACTTCCAGTGTGGCCAATAAGAACAAAAATTTTAAATCATACACTTTCAGGTTATTGTGATATTGTTTATGGGATTTGGATGCACATATGTTCTTATGCAAGTATGATTCTAAAATTTCATAGATTATCTCAAAAGGAAAGGCTTCCATTTGAATGAATGGAAAGAAGGGAAAATTTGCTACTTACATCTTAGGGGTTTTACAGGACTTTCAGGGAGGTATTTTTATTTGAGAAAACCAGATTGAAAATCATGCTACAACTTGTTAGATAAAGGAGGCTGCTGCTCAGAGAAAGAAACGGGCTTTATTTCCTAATCTAGTGTTGGGCTTTAAAAACACTTCACCAAGTTTGAGGTGGGGAGTCTGTTTATAGTTAAATGCATGTGTTGACGTAGAGGTGGGGTGGGTTGGTAGTTAGAAGAATTTCTCTCATTGCTAAACTTATAAATACCACAATTTAAAAGGCATGATTATGTGTAGACTCTGGTTGTAAGTAGTAGTTAATAGCAACATGAGGTCAGCTTATTAATATTTGCACGTGGGACAAAAGGGACAGATTTCTTCACATCACTTTTTCTCATCTACATTTTCACACCACATAATGATTAGAAATCTCTGCATAGGCAAAAAAAACACACAATATACGGATTTTGTTTTCTCCTTTTGATTTTATGCTACATGTGGTCTTATTGCCTTCTCCCACTTTTGGTACAGTCTATGTCTTAGGAAACACAATATTTGGAAAATGACACACTAGAAATCATTTTGACCAATTCCTCCTTTTCCTCAGTAACAGAGCTAAAGGTTGTATCTAGATAATTTTGTGGAAGTATTTTTTAAGAGATGCTACATTTTGGGGGTGAACATTAGAGATAAGAAAAGCAGGCTATTCCCCTTGCTACCCCTAATTGGTCATTTGTATTAGAGGGAGCTTATTGTGAACACACAGTGGCTGGGTTCTCTGGACTGACACTGCCCTGATTTATTTCTTCCCATTTGCTGTTGTGTGCTGAATGGCCTATAATTTGTTATTGATATGTTGGAGTTTATCTCAATTTATTATTCTATTTGTTGTGCCTTGACCTATGGACATTGGTTTAACTCTGACTGAAAACTTAAAGTTGACATTCAAAAAATAATTTCTCAAGCAAGAGTCCTGGAAACAAATTATCTAATTCTATTATCTAAGATGTTTTCCCGGTTCCTACTTTTCTTGGTAATGGTAAACTTAAAACGTTTTGTTAGACAGAGTGTTGGTTATATTAGGTATCTTGTGGGTGTGTATGTATGAATTTAGGCAAGCAATTGTTTTACAGAAGACAGTTGAAAAATAAATCTCATTTTACTATAACATCCATCATCATTCTTTTCCATAAAATAAAGGCTATTTGCTCTTGCAGGTGATTTGAATTAGTGTCATTATATTTATGGCAGGTAAAATGTGGTATTTTCCTAGAATATTCCGTACTGTGTCTAGAATGGGCTCTAGGCTTGAGGAAAGGTGAAAAAGCACAGTACTGGATTATCTCTGCTCACTGCTCTCTCATTGACTAGAGTAAATGAATAAAATAAAGCAGTTCAAGCAAGTCAAGGAAGGAATACAAAGCCAAGCAATTTAGAGGGAAAAAAATTTTTTTGGAAGTTTTTAAGTAGCTGAATTGTTTATACAGAACAAGAGAAAGTTTAAGGTTGAATAAACAATTGTCTTGCAATTATTTCAGAGAGTAATTTTTCTATGGAGTGTTTCATTCAGTCAATAATTTTTTTTGAGCACTTGTACCAAGTGTGTAATGGTCAACAAGGTAGCCATGGTCCCTGCCTTTAAAATGTTTTGCCCAGGAGAACATGACCTCCATCCTCCAAATCAAGTAAGCAAACAAAGAATAAAGAAATCACAAATTGTGGTAAGAGTTACGAAGGAAACCTGCTAAAGGCTCAGACAGAAAAAATAAAAATCTTTCAGTAGGAGGGTTTTTTCTTTGACTCTTAGCTTAAATGTCCCCTTTAGAGGAGGAGTCACCTTTAGAGGACATGGCATTTAAGCTGAGACATGAAAGTAAAAACAAACAACAGTATCTAGCCATGCGAGCAGTGGAAAGAGAGAGAGTGTCCTAAACATTCTGTATGTGCAAAAGCCCTGAGGCAGGAAAGTGGTTGGCTTTGAGGATCCACAAGAAGACCACTGTGCCTATATAATGGGAAGAAAAAAGGAAAGTGACTCAAGATGTTGTTGAAGAGATAGAAAAAGTCCACATCTGCAGACTTTATAGGTTATGTTAAAGATTTGGGATTTTATTCCAATTACAATAAGAGTTTATTAAGGGGTTTAACTGAGGATAGTGACATGATCCAAAACACACTTTAAGATGTTACTATTTTATACATGTGGAAATAGAGAGATAAATCAGTAGACAGTCGCAATATCAAAATGATGATGGCTTTATCCACGTAGGCGGAGGAGAGAAGGCAAGAAGTGCATGGATTTGAGAGACATATTGGAATAGAATTGAGAAGTAGAACTTCCATTGCTTTGTAAGAAAAAAATGAGGAAAAAGGAAGGAATCAAAGGCAATATTCTAGTTTTCTATGTTGAATCACTGAGTGGCTGGTAGGACCCCAGTGATTCAACATAGAGAACTAGAATATGCATCCTTTGCTGAATAGGGATACACTGAGAATGGTGAGGTGGAAAACAAGTTTAGTCAGAAAATCAGAGTTATATTTTAGATATGTAGTTATAATATATCCATGAAACACCCAAGTGGAGATGCCAAATAGGCTGTTGTGAAGATGAATCTGGAGCTCCAGGAGAGGGTTGGGTTAGTGATATAAATGTGGAGGAGGTCAGCAGATAATTCAATGCTGTGGATTCAATGGAATTCAATGGAATGGATGTGATTCAATGGAATGGATGTGACCAGCTATGAAGAGAGGGTAGAGAGAGAAAAGAACCCGTCCAGGACCAAGCCTCCATGAGGATGATAGAGGCTGTGAAAGGAAACAGAGGAGTCTACTGAGGGTTGGGCAATGAAGCAAGAGGAAAACCAGACACATGTTATGGAATCATGATAAGAGCACTTTAAGCAGGAGATTGTGATAAACTGTGTTGATTGTTTTTTAGAGGTCTCAAGGACAGAGTAACACCTAGTGACTTTGACAACACTGAGCTTTGGGTGATCTTGACACAGTTGTTTTAGTGAAACAGTAGGGCTGAAAGACTATTTGTATTAGGTTGAAAAATTACATGTGAAGGAAGGACATGAAGGAGAAGCTTCAGTCCTGTACTCTCAAGGCTAGACCACATATCTAATACTGACAATCTAGGAATAATTTTATGACAGCCAAAATCAATTTCCTTTTTAAATGAAATGTAGTCTCACTCTCTGAAAACCTTTTAAAGCTACACAGCTCCTGATATATCTGGAATGCTGAATGGATTGCTTAGCTATCAATATTTATTATGCTATCTGACCTAGAATTTAATATTTGTCATCAGTCACTAATTTTTAAATTTTCCTGCTTACTCAAGCCATAATTAAAAAAATCTGCATTTAAATGACCATATGCTGAAGGTCAACAACAGCTGTGCAAAATATCATGGTAAGGTACCACTGAGAGTTACAAAAGAGGTAGAAGCATAATCTCAAACTTCCAGGGAATTTACAATCTAAACTCAAGCTGCCAACCAATGTGTATAGAAAGCAATTAAGTAACTTTCTTTTACAATAATCTCAGTATAGTCCTTGTTGTTCGTAATATAATTTATTATGTGTAAGAAAGCCATTATATAAAATTAACAACTTAAATATTATTTATTTTAGTACTTCAAAATGTATTTTGGAAATATATGATTACTTGTATCAATAAATTTTTAGAAGCTGCAAGCTAGAAAATGGAGTCTAAAACCAAGATTAATCTAGGCAGTTGTTTATATGAGGATAGAGTTATCTCTGTCTCCCCTCCTATTTAAACCCAATCTCTCCTTCTATGACTACAATCCCACTTCCTCAAACTTTGTCAGGGCTTCCTTCTCTGAAATATCTCTCAAATGTCTCCTTTCTTTTGCATGTTCAACCTCTCTTTCTGGTAGTTTATCTCCATCAGTAGATAAACTCTCTCAAGATTCATATGTATTAAAAAAAGACAAATGTTTTCCAAGTCCCAGAAGTATAAGATATGCCAAGTGAAATACATGTTTTTCCCTCACCCCTGACACACATACCTTTCACAGTAATTATAGGTTGGCTTTTCCTTGTGATTTTCCCCTTCAGTGAATAGCATCACCCGTGCTAGAAACCTCGAATACATCGTTGACTCTTTCCTTTGTTTTACCCCCACTTTTAATTTATCACTAGGTCCTATTGATTTACCTTCTAACATCTTTTTAATCCAGCTACATCTTTCCATGACTAGGATATTACCCTAATCTATTGGACAGTGTCTCTCACCTAAATCGCCTATGGCCTTTTAATGGATTTCTAGAACTCCTTGGAATTTGTTCTCCTCCATTTTCTCCAGTGCATGCATGATGATCTTTCTAAATGCACATCCCTAGATTAAAAGACTTTAGTGTCTCCCCATCACTACCTGGGTCAAATCTGAACCTCTTACCTCAGTATATAAGACCCTTTCTGACTTTGCTTATGTTGAACACACACACACACACACACACACACACACACACACACACACACCTTTCAGAAGTCATGTTCTTTCTCATCTCTGGGTTATGTGCATGCTGTCCCCTCTCCTGGGAAATATTTCTCTGTTCTTGTGCTCCCCACTGGCCAACTTACTCACTCTAGACTCCAGTTGAAATGTCACTTACCCTAAGAAGACTTTCTTAAGTGCCACAGATTCCAAGTGACTCTGTGCTTTTCCTATCATGGTTCACCAAACTCCATGTTGTGTGAGTGATTATTTTGGATCTGCTGAAAGGAAAAAAATGAAGTGTTACTTAATCCCAGATTTGTAACTTGGTTTTCTCTACCATCTTTTAATATATACTTATACAATGAGTTTCCAAACATGACCAAAATGTCAGGTTAAGCAACTGGAATAATTAAAAATATCCTGGCCTGAAAGTGTACTAGGATGACGATGCCTAATTATTATTGATTACACTTATGTTTCACCCTTTTAGAAAAAATAATTTTTCTAGTACCACCTGCTATGTGATGAAATTAAACTCACTTTCAATTACCCATCAGTGTTTTCTTTTTCTCTGTTTCTTTTGATTTTGCCAAAAGTTTAAGCTTTCAATAATTAATTTAGTGAGGCATTTAAATTTGCCTATTATATTGAAAGTAATATAGTTTTAAAATCCTTTTTGAGATTTGTTTGCACAATGTCTTTAGTAATCACTGCAACATGCTTCTATATTGGTCATTTAGTAAAATAACCTATGGATACTTTTGCCAACCCAAAAGAATCCAGACATGCAGAATATAATCAACACCATTGTGATTGATAAGCACATAAACTATCTAGCTTAAATAGCCACAGAGCTCATGATCCATGAAATGTGTCCACATACCCCACTCGACCACTATTCCATTTTAAAAAATAATTTATTTCATTTATTAAACTAATATATGTACTACATGGACTGCAACAATGCTCGTATGGAATAATAACAGCTCACTGTACCTCCCCTTTAGCTCTTGTGAATTCTAAACTCCTAAAACAATACTTTCTTCTTCTTCTTCCCCCCAGCTTTTGCAGGCATATCTCATCACATTTCTAAATAATATGTTTATACTGCTACTTTTTGTTTTTCAATTAGATCTTACTTATATGCTTATTTTTTTACTTTCAAATTTTTTAAACGTAACATACAGAAAAGGACATAAGACATGTATACTTAAAAATAATTATAAAATTTTATTATTTATAAAACACGTATTATAACTGTATTACACATTAACATTACACATATAACTATATTACACATTACACAGATAACATTACACATATTATACGTATATTATTACACATTACACATATAACATTACACATATTATAACTGAATTACACATTACACATATAACTGTATTACACATTAACAAGTACATTTACATGAAGAATAAACTTATAAATTAATAACATCATCATCATCATCATAATTACTGCTCCAAGGCCAAAAGATCCCCATACATCTCTTCCAAATCACAACTGTCCTCTGTCTCTCAAGAATAGCAATTGTCCTTATTTGTATAATACATTTCCTTGCCTTCCTTTGCTTATTTTTTAAATCAACTATGTATGCATCTCTGTAAAATAGAGCTTGGTTTTCCCAGATTTTGAACTTTATATTAATGGGCTCATACAGTAGTGCTGCAGTTCTCCATGGGAGCAGCTCTCCCCTAGGAGACATTTGACAATGTCTGGAAACATTGTGGTTGTCACACCTGGGGAGGGGGGAACAATACTGGTGTCTACTGGTTGGGGCTAGGGATGTTCCTAGCATCCTACCAAATACAGGATAACCCCCATAACAAGCAGTTTTCTGGGCCAAAATGTCAATAGTGCTGAGGTCAAGAAACCTGTTGAAGAGGGTTCCATTGTATGGATATACCACAAAATTTAGTTATTTAAACTATAGCTGATGGAGCTTGAATTGTTTTCATTTTTGGATGAAACAATGCTTCTGTGAATATTTTGGTGTCTATATCCTGTTCATACAAGTGGTTTCTCTATAAGTGGAATGTTTTTAATCATAGGATTAGCATCTTCAACTTTCCTAGATGCTCCTCAATTGTTTCCCAAAGTGAATGTTGGATTTTTACTATTGAAAATTAAGATGTGACTTTCTTAAGCCATAACTATCAAGCACACTTTCCTTCTACTTTTTCTTTCAATTTATTCATGTCACAGTTTTGTTTAAAACAATTTTAGTGTTTATTTAGACAAGGTGAATTTGCTCATATCCAAGCTATATAGCTATGATTATATATATTTTTTCTATATAAGCAAGAATTTTGGGGGAGACTAACAATTGTCTAATTTCTTCTTGTTTGCTTGCTGTTCTATGTAGCTGTCATTCATTTATCCTCGGATGCTCTCATGGGACTACAAACTCCCATATGTTGTATGTTTCCTTGGAGATACTCTTCCTCTGCTCTTCTGCTTTTAACAAGACAGATTGACTGATTGCTTCATAGACAGGCTAGGTTTTTTTTCCCCTCTATCATCTTGGGAATAGCTTTTGAGTATTTCCTGTGTTGGAGTCACCTGTTTCCTGGATTCCTTCATTTTCTTCCTTAGTTTTGTGGAAACACACTTTGGCAGAGTAACTTCATATTCTACTTTTCTCAACTTTGACTGTTGAAACTCTTTTACTGTGTTTTATTTCTCCTAGCATATTTTCAGTTTCCAAGAGCACTTTCTCGATCTCTGAATGTTCCTTTTTCTCATATATCACACTGGCTTTGCTTCTTGTTTCTTATTGCTCTGTGTTTCCTAAAAGGTCTACTGGCTTTTGCCTACTCATTCACGTTTCAAAATGTGGCACAAAGAGGCCACTGGGAAATTCTATGTACGTGGGCAGAAAGGAGCAAGAACATAGCCCATTTCAGTGAGAACCCTTCTCACTCTGATGTTGATATTTGTGGGTATTTTTTTCCCTGGGGCAGGTTATTTTTTCAGAACAGAATCTCCATTCTCTTGCTGGGACATATAAGGCTGCTAGTCACTGCTAAAAGGGATGTGGGCTAAAGATCTCACTGTTTATGGGGCAAGTCTTTGCTAAATCTTTTTTATTGCAGACAGGGGCCACATTTCTACCTTCAGCTGTTCTTGCTGTGATGAAGTCCAAAGTCCAGAGAAAATCTGGCACAACCTCTTCAGAAAATAAGTCATCTGACTTTCAACAATACTGATTATATAGGGAAATTATGGACGCCAGGATCTGTTAGACTTAGAATCAATTCTTTCATTTTTGGCCTTACTTCAGTCCCTTGTCTTCCCTTCCAAGGAAGCTGCTGCCTCCCTTCCTGAGGCAGGTCTGGGTTGTGAACCATGTCAGCCTCCTTGCTTCTTGGATAGACATTTAGTAGAGAAAGCAAAAATCTGAATAAGTTGTCCATCTACCTGGTTTCCATCTTACACAATTTTGTTAACATTTCTAGTTGGCTGGTGTCATCTCTTTCATCTCTGTCCTTGTGGGTTTATATATTTATTTTTTTTTGTCATTTTAGTGGAATTTTAGAAGAAGGATGAGGAAAAACACATATATGTTTAATCCACTATATTTAACCATTAATCCTTCTCTACTACTAAAGTTACATTATATATGATACATATATGTGTAAAATATATATATGTGTATGTATATATATATATATGTACAGGAAATAAGAAAACAGAGATATATTGTCCTCTGTCTCTCTCTTTCACACGCAAACACACACACACACACACACACAACATGCATACACACAAACTGCTTTAGATGAGGTCTCTGATGTTTTTCAGATTGTCAGTTACAAAGATCTCTTTTCTGTTCATTTTGCTCAGATTCTCAGCCTACTCCTTTGCCTTGGCATCCCCTTCCTCTAGACTTTCATGACACCAGTTTTCTTTGTTCCTTGCAGTCTGTTCTGAATTTCTCTTCTCTGCCCAGTCTTCTTGCATTTGGGACCTCTGCCAGTTTACTCTCCATCTCTTGTTTCCTTTTTTTCTACTCTTTGACTTCTCCTCTAGTATTGCTATTCACCCCCTTCTTTAATTAGCATCTTGAAACCATAATAAACAAGTTTGTGTCTTTAACCCAGAGATGCCTCCTAATTTTCTCTGTGAATGCTCTATGATACCTTAAGTCATTATTTTCCAAATGGAATTCATTACATCCCCAGAACTCTTTTCTCTTTCAACTCAATTGCTGCCTCTCTTTTTCTTTAATATTTCTTATTTAAATCAGGGGTCAGAAATATTTTTCTGGAAAGGCCAGATAGTAAATATTTTAGGCCATTTGTATGTTTCTGTTAACTATTCAACTATGCTGTTACGGTGGAAGGCAAGCTTAATCGATACATAAGCAAATGGGTCTGACTGCATTCCAATAGGATTTTATTTACAAAAACAGACCAGCAGGCTGGATTTGGCCCTCTGGCCATAGTTTGTTGACCCCTGGTCTAGGTTAATGGCCATGCTAACCAGAAACCTCTTAACTGAGCTTCCTCTCTCACATCTGGCCAGTATGCCCTGCTGACTCCGCCCTTCCAGATCTGCCCTGTTTCTACAGCCCGGCCTGCACACTTTCCTCTCTCAGAGCTGCATCTTTTCACCTGTTAATTGTGGTAGCTGTTTATCCAGTCTGTCCGCTTTCTGTCTTGTAGTCCTTTAGCCCATGTTCTACGCTGTTTTCAAAGCAGTCTTAGGCAAGCAGAACTTAATCCTGTGACTGTTTGTTGAAAATACTCAATGTTTTGCAAATATCTATATGGTAGCGCTTCTCCAATTTTAGGTGCGTAAGGGCTACTTGAAGTATTCATTAAAGTAAATATTTCTGGGTCCCATCCTGGGAGTTCTGATTGTATAGTTCAGAGTTGGGAGCCAGGAATTCGCATTTTTAATAAATCATCCAAAATGACTCTGTGATATATGGTCTTCAGATACTTGAGAAACACTAGCCCATGGTAAAGAGCAAACAGCTATATGATTATAGTTTACCCACCAATGTGTAAGCATACAAAAATGTAAAAAGCATAGCTCTTGCCATCTGGGAACTCACAATCTAATAGAGAAGATAGACACATAAACAAATAAAGGGAGTTAATGTGTTTTAGATATTCAAATATAGATATGTAGATGGTAAGAATCCTGGAGTTGAGGAGAACTCATCCAAGAATGTGAGTTCTTCCTGACCTGCCTGCATCTCCAGCCCTGCCTCTCACAACCCCTCTCCAGCATGTTACGGGTCAACCCTTCACCTGAACTGGCCATGTTCCTTTACCCCTTTCACATTTCTTGGATGATAGTAATTTTTCCAGTAATGCCATTAAACCCTTCTTAGCTTAGCAAACTTCCTTTAAGGCTCAACTTGAGTACCATCTTCTTGGATGAGTTCTCCTAAACTCCGGGATTCTTACTATGCACATATCTATATTTGGGTACCTAAAATGTATTAACTGCCTTTATTTGTTTATGTGTCTGTGTTCTCTATTAGATTGTGAGTTTCCAGAGGGCAGTAGCTATGCCTTTTGCATTTTTGTATACTTATACATTGGTGGTATTTTATATAGTACATATACTAACATGTATTGATTGGATGTAAGAATTAGTAAATATATTAATATTTATATTTTATAGATAATTAAACTGAAGCTCTGATATGTTAACTGACTTGTTTGAGGTCAACTAAATTGCAGACACAATCAAGGATATCACACTTTTTGGACTTTCGTTGTTTTTCTGATCATACATACTTCCTTTCTAACATGATAGGGTTATTCCCTCTGCTCAAGTGAGTCTTGAATCCGGGAAGTGTTCAACAGGACTTCTAAATTTGATTATACTTATTCAATCTTTTGATTTTTAAATGTGTGTCATTTCAAAGGCTGACTAATAATGTTTGCTAGTCAGTCAGTCATGCCAGAGTCACTGCTTTCTATAAGCTTGGCCTGTACAATTTTTGAATTTCTGGACCTCTACATCTTTGAGCTGCACATCTCTTGGTTTTCTTCGGCTTATGTAAATTATATTTTTTCTGCATACTTTTACTATAATAAATTGTGATGGCATTATTATTATTATTGCTTAACAACTAACTGTTCAAGAAAACAAAGGCTCTTTTTGGCAACTGCTCTACGAGAGTATTTCCTATGTTATCCTTTTCTGTACTTCTCATATGGCCCTTGGGATTCAGAACACTTGTATTTTGAAGTGCCAGCTAAAATTAGGCAGCTGAAATCCAGGAAAGGTCAGGGGTAAATGATAGCAACCTCTGGAATACTCGGCTGGGTTTGACCTTACTGTCTGGGAAAAAAGCAATTGCTAATTCTGGATTATTTTTGTTGGGTGAAGAAAGGGATTACATGCTGAGAGACACAGACAGGTGAACTTCTGCAGCAATCAGTATGCAGTTATTTAGTGCTCATTTCATTTTGCCTCATATTAAAGTTTATCATCACTGTCTCTTATCAAGTAGGGACCTTGCATTTTGTGAATTTCATCTCATCTTTCACATAGAAAACACTCAAAAAAAGCTTGTGAAATGCAATGAGCAATCCCTAAACCTCATTTCAAACTTTCACCTTTGCTAAGGTACAATAATGATGAAACAATGAAGTGCTCCAAAGGCAGGGAACCAAAGAAAGGAAGACCAAAGAGGCCATTGGAAACTATTACCCGGAAAATCAACCTTGGGAAGTTGCATGTCTGTATATCTGTTTCTTCACAACAATGAAACACACAGTCCAGCCCAGAGACCAGAAATGTGGCATTTTAATTGAATAACTTCATACTTGCTTGATAATTGTATATTTAACATAAATAATGTCCACTTGTCACATTTATATTTCTTTTAAACAATCAATTAGTATTTAATGAATTAGTGTCTGTACAGTGAAAAATAAGGTAGTTGTTAAAAAAACTTAAATTTTTATTGGTTTTGCTTACATAATAAAAAATCAGTAACTATAGCCACTTTAGGCAACCAAAAAATCCTCCCAGATATATAATTTTTTACATTGTTATATTACACTTTTATAAAGTTAGCTACAGCATACCCATGTTTTGCTATAAACTGTATTCCTTTGGCCATATGTAAGCTATCAATACTAAAAGGTGTTTGAACATACATCCACATTAGCAGTGGATAATAAGGGAGAAAATAGGTTAAAATCTTTTATAAATCTTTTGAGCTGTAACATCCATGTTAACAATAATTTTGTCTGTTGCTATATTAAAGTCCTTAATACTAGGAAACATGTTTTGAAGTTGAACGATAGCACCTTTTTCTATCTTGGTTTTGAGTATGTAAAGAAATTATAATTGTTTCTTACTTATCAGTATGTTAAAGTTTTGAATCAAACATTTTTTTAAAAAGCCACTGAATGCAATTTTATTATAAATAATGCAAGTATGCTTTTTGTGTGTAGTTTCAAAATTTGGCAAGATAATTAGAGAACATGATACTGACATGGAGAAGGAAAAGGTATCAGGATGTAAAAATTCAGTACATGGTAATAAAAATAATCTAAAATTTAAATAGAAATTAAATATATTAATAAACTGTGAAAATATTAGTGATTCAAAATTAATTTAAAATTGAGAGTCTAAAATGACTTCTATGATAACAGGCCTCTGAAAAAGTGATTGGGATGAAATTAAAGAACAAGTTTGTGGGTGATTTATAAATAGAATCCATATGGTGTGTGAATTAATTATTATTGCTCTTTCTTTCTGGCCACATTGTTGGGTTTTGGTTTACTGTACCATCACATTCAATATTGACAGAAAACAACATTACTAGCTTATTTCCAACATGTGGCCCAGCCTATTAAAAGAAAAACAAAGTAAAAATTTGGGCATATTTTAAGACCGAGTTAAAGCTCTTGGGCCCAATTTATTTCGAAAGTCACTCTGAGAACATTGCACTGTGTTTTGCTGGAACAAAATCAGGACCTTTTGCATTGATGTGACGAGGCAATGACGAACGTTAGGCTAAGAATGGGAATCTGTCCCCATGGGTTTCCTCCAACCCCACCTCATTTCCTCTCTCTTCCGTTTTCTCTTGTACATACTTTCACACACATCTCATCCCAAGCTATCCTAAGGCACTTTGCTTAGAAGATATAAAAATTAGGCAGGAACGCACAAAGCTAAGAGGTTCTTACGGTCTCAAAAAGCAGTTTTGCCTCTAGATGAAAGAAAAGCACCATGTCAAGCAAACTTTTCTATTGGCTATTTACAAAAATAATACAAAAATTAGTAATAAGCTTTACAGGTAGCTGTTAAATGTACTAATCTGTATGATTTTGAAAAATAGTATTTTAACTATAGCATTATACATATGCTAGAAACCATTTTAACCACAGCATGGGTGAGAGAGGGTGCTACCTGCCCCTTTGTCATGTGGACACTGCACCAGGCAGTTCACAGTCTTTATTATGAGGTCACTGGCATCTCTCCATCGTAAAGCTATGAGCACAGGGCCTGCCCTCATTTAATCATCTACATGCAGTGTATGTAGGTAAGTATTTACAGATGACAAAACCAAACAGAGTTTAAGCTACGATAGTGAAAGAAGAAGATTTTAATAATCCTGAAAAAATTGTAGATAGTATTGTCTTCACAGGGTATGTGAATGACAGATTCAAAAAAGTCTTTTGGGATAGCCTTTCAAACATTCTATTTCTCTTTGTGAGGTTTGATCTTAACTGAATGTAAAGGATGTAATAATTTTCTTTTTAAAAGTATTATATTTTAAATTCAGCTGGCACATGTGCCAGTCTGTTACATGCTGCTTGTTTGTGACATGTTGGTTACATATTGCAGAATGCTGAGGTTTGGGCTTCTAGTGAAAGTGTAATGATTTTCAAAAACAGCCTTGCTCTTTCTGTTACTCCCTCCTGATCATTTAAATGTTTCCAGTGTCCGAAAAATGCAACAACTAAACTGCTCTCTCATTTGCATCTAATTACAATCTGATAATAGTGTGATAATATTAATTGAAAAGTTGTTTTAAAGGATTTTAAAATTTTAAATTGAGTAATTTAAGCTTCATTTAAAAGTTCTGTTTTACAGTGACTTATTCTTCCTTTATATCAGAGTCCCATTGATTTAAAAATAAATCTCTTTTTAGAAAGAATAGAAATTCTGAGTGAGCTCATTTTTAAGCCTAAGTGTTGTGTGAATATCCTGGAAGTTGTTAAGAGCTATGTTGAAGTGCTAACTGTAAAAAATTAAGTGCTTTCACGACGAGGCTTTCTTAATTCCCACTGATTTTCTTTCCATGCCGTAAACAGCTCATAAAATGTCATATGTAGCTGTGAGTGTTAAAATAATTACACTTAATATTTTAATAGTGTGCTGTGCAAATACATAGTTTTTTGTTTTGTTTTGGCAAATGTTTCATTTTGTTTTAATGACTTCGGTCCAATATAAAGAAAATGAAATACAGTGAATAGTTCTTCTTTCAAGATGAGCTGTATTTATTACTGGAACGGAAGTTGTCATATCCGTGATCATTAGCTTTGAACTTTAAGCACGACTGCTTTTCCTCCAAGGACTGTTTTTCTTCAAATGACTGGCACCAGCAGCATAAGCATGACTGTACAAAACAAAGTAACTCATTATATGTTAACATCAGTCACCTTTCCCAACTCTTCCTCCTCTCCAGGGTTCTGACTTTCTTTGTATGATTAGGAGTTCTTGGGCCCTTTCTTTCAGTGCTCTTTTATTTTCCCTCTTAAAAGAATATAATCACAGTAGTAGCATATGATAATTTTTTAACTAAAAAAATGCAGAGAAGAAAAAAACCTACATAGTTAAAATTTCTCAACAAGAGAAAGCCACTTTTAATTGATATTTACTCTTGGTTATTTGATAATATTTGATAAACATATAATTCAAGACTTTTCCCCATGAAAACAGAAATATTTGCACATACATGAAATAAATAAATTATACACATGTATATGTGCATGTGCTGGAGAATGTGAGTATAATTATTTTACTGAGACTGTACTGTATGTATACTCCATAACCTTGTAGATACTTTCACAAACACCTCATCCCAAGTTATTCTAAGCCACTTTGCTGAGAAGATTTAACCTGCTTTTTCTCACTTGACAGTGACATAAATATCTTCTCATGTCAATGAATTTAATACTGCTTTCCTATTTTTTCAGCCATGTATTCTCATATCTCTTTTCAATATTGGTAAACAATAAGGTTATATAGTACAAAAGCATCTCAGTTTTCTTCAATTTTTTTCTTGAAGTTTTTTTAAATATAAAAATTTTTTCATTCTGCTTGTCTTCTGTTCATTCTATTTGTAAAAGAAAATGAGAAGTCCACTGTTTTATGTCTTATAAAATGAGGGTGTTGATCCTGATGGAAGTTCTCTTCCAACTCTAAAATTTGAGTTATGAGTGGGCGAAGAATGTTATAGGCTGCCTTAGTGTTTACGCGGGAGCTACGTTCTTAGCTTTCCAGTAGTGAAATACCATGGACAAATGGATGATTTTCACATTAGGGGAGGGGATATTTTATTTCATGTTAGATTGTTGAAGGAGTGAATGAATAGAAGGATGATAAAATGCAAGCAGCTGAAGAAGGAATTATATGTATTTCACATTGAACAGCACATCACTGTTATACAAAAAAGGAAGAAAGAGGTAAAACCTAAACTATTTTTTTTTTGTTTACCTTGCTATTCTCACAGTCCATGTGAAAAAGGAACTAATTTAGTTATAATAATAATTGCAGCTGCGAAGTTCAGAATCTACCAAAAACAGGGAACAGGGCCTTTAATTCATGTTTAGCCCTTATTTTATTATGTGATGCCTATCAGACATCAATGCATGTAATTTTTATTACTTTTTGGTCAACAATTCCATGAGTGTAACTGATTGGCTGAGGCAGTAGGGAGTGGCTGACTAGGATTTATAGGAAAAAACAATTATAGTGATTTACAAGCAAAAGTTGTATTTAAAAAAATCATCCATGATGTAATAAAAGGGAAACTATAAGATAATTTACTAAATCTGTCTGGATAGATATATTAGCAGTTTTGAAAGCTTATATTTGAGCCATATTACAAAGAGCTTTTTATTTTGGGATAGTCTCTTACCTTAAAGCAGTTTTTGAATCTTTTGCTCACCAAATACAGAGCAATTGGGTTAATGCAGGAATTCAGTGAAGCCATGTTGATACCAATATAGTCCAATACCAACAGAAAGCTGCAACAAAATAACCCAAAATGTGTCTGAAAAATATGCTATTCTGAACATGTAGTCATTGTAGCTTCTGTGCTTTTGTAAGGAAAAAAAATGCCAATATACAATGGTTCTAAATTTATCACTCGTCTTTGCTAACAATGATTCTCTGCCTGTCTCTGTCTGTGTCCCCCTCTAACTCTAGCATTTCTACTGACTTTCCTCCATTTCCCCTTCCCAGGCCCAATTCTTCTCTTTTAAAATAAAATCTCATTTGGAAGTACTGAAGCTGGCTGAAAAGAAGAAATTTAGAAAACGCGTTGGAGAATCGGACCTGACATTTTCCGCCTTGGCACTCACTCATCATCTTGACAACTCTGACTCTCTGTACCCAGTGTTCTTCATACCCCCCCTTCCCTGTCCCTCTCAACAGGACCTCAGATAAAAATTGGGAGTCTCCATGACTTCCTAAGGGTTAGAAAAATGGTAGTCTGTCTTTCTGCCTATAAAAAAGATCGATGGAAACACTTCTGAGTGGCATTTATTTACAAAACCATTTCTAGTTTGCCTTTCTTACCTCAAAAGTTCACATCTATTGGGATCATTCTGATTATAAAGAGTGAGCTTCAGAATCCTGCTGAGGTGAAGGGGAAGCCAGCAGAGGGCAAAGACAAGGACCAGGCAAAAGACGGTTTTGGCCACTTCCCGTCTCTGAAATAAATCCATAGTTTGACCCTTAAAAGATGGCTCATTTTACTCATAGCATTCTATCTTCTAAAACGACATTTAATATTGTCTACAAAAAGTCAGTGGCATATGTAAAAACTCAGGACACTGAGCTTTATATGGAATAGTTAATGTGAAGTGGAACCGAAGTGACTAGAGATTCATCTTTAAAAAGTTCTGATTCTCCCTAGATCCTTTTAGATTATATAGAATATCTCCAAATAAATAATATAAAAATATTCTTTATCTATTTAAAACTACCAGAAACAAGAAAAAGGAAATATGCTCTGGTATATAATAATGTTAGTTTATCATCATCATCATCATAATTTTCATATTCATAATTATAAATTCAACCACGAGTTATCAAATATTTGTATTTTCTTACCTGCTTTAGGTGATCATTTAAAGCAATCTGCATGCCACTTTTCTTTCTCAACATTTCACAGGTCATTAGTGTATAAAAAAATGCAGTGATGGCCAATGGCAAGCAGAAATAGAAACTGAATAGCCACCAATCTTTTGCTGTCTTGTAAAACTATAGGGATGAGAGAATTTTTACGATTAATACTCCTCTGTAAGAAAATCTTATATAACAAATGTTAAACTTAAAAAAATTCATCAGGGAATGATTATCTTCTAAATTAGATCCAGTTTGTATATATCATACAGAATCTTTCAGGCCACACTTACTGAACAAATAAATAGTCATGTTAAATAAAACAAATTTTCCCAAAAATATTTCAGTTCTCTAAGACAATGTGTTATAAGCATGCACAAAAACTTAAGTAGTTAGGCAAAATTTGAAATATTTGGTAATTCAATGCTTTGTCTTCACATAAGAAACTTATCCTTAGAGTATTTTTTGTGTGAAATATAACACCTAAATATGTAAAGATAACTTAGTGTTTAGATGAAGTTCTCATTTTTTAGCAAGTTTGTTTAATGGGAACAACAGATACGAAAAGGTCTAGGTTAACCATTTAGCTCAGTAACATATAAATCTAACCTCGCAAAAAGACAAAATCTGCTTTTGACTTATGTCGTATCTCTTATTCTTTTTCTTCTCTGTTATCTTTTTCATATTGCTTTAGATATATCTGTGTTGGAGAGGAAATTATGTAACCTAGGCAGCACTTTTTTTTTCTTTTTACTAATAGGAAACAAGGAAATAGCAATTTCATTTTCAATTTCACATTATGTCCTTGATTCTTTTACTTATCATGATATATACAGTTCATAAAGTTTTATTTAGTCTCCTTATATATTCAATAGAAAATAATCATTGGGAATAGTTAAGCCAGCCCCCTTTGCATTAATGTCTCTTAACTCATTCTGTTGGGAAGAGCCTTTTACACTCAGGATCTATCTTCTGGAAACGAGTATCATCATTCTTTTTCTATTCCCTAATCAAATGTTCTTTAATAAATGACCAGGATGAAAAGTTTCTTGCAATGGCAGCTTTCTTTTTGGCATCAAAGACAGAGAGAGGGGAGTCTTGCCATTCAGACTCCATCCATATCAGGGTGACTTCTATCTGAATATTTGCTGGACCATCCATTCCTCTGACAACTACTGGGCTATCTTGTGCAGATTACGTAGTAGTTGTCAGTCCTTATGGGGCTGTAGGATACAGTAAATTCCTCTTCAAAGAACCAATATGTCAGTGTGTTCAGCTTCCCTGTTCTTTGTTCTCCATTTTAAAGTTTAACTCCCTCATTCTTTACATCTCCTTGCCCCTAGTTTCAGTAAACAACCCCCTCCTAGCCTCTATCACCTGCTCTTTCCTTAGTTATCCTTCATCACCTGCTCTGTCCTTAGTCATCCTTAGTCACCTGCTCTGTCCTTAGTCATCCTTAGCCACCTGCTCTGACCTTAGTCATCCTTAGCCACCTGCTCTGTAACTGTCCTTCCCGCTGAAACTACTCACCCCACCACTCCAGCTCGTACCCCTGCTCTTTTTAAAATAGCCAATTGGAATTAACTTAGACTGTGCGGTCCAACCCTACCCAATAGGGGAAAGATGCAGCAGTGGGAACTAGCTACATCAGGGATAACACCCCCTTCCCCTCCCTTGTCTGGTGTGCTCTCGCCATTGCTCCATTGTGAGACACAACCTTCTATAGAAGTAAATTGCCTTGCTGAGAAAACTTTTGCCTGAGTGCTATTTTCACTTTGTGGCACCAAACATTTTACTTCTAACATGGCTTTAGGTAGAAAGCTATAAATTCACATCAATTCTTTCATGTGGACCTGGTTTATCTATGCCACTGAGATCAAGGGGATTCTTAGAGAAGTAGTGATCTAGCTTCTTGCAGCTTGAGTCATTGATCACCATTAACTCCACAGTCCTTGGATCTATACTCTTAATTTATGCCAAGGACAGTCATAAATCAACAGTTTCCCAAGGAGTGGGGAACAGGGGAAAAATAGCTAAATATTTATAAGGCAAGAGCAGAAAGGAAAATAAAAAAAGTGAAATTTACCTGCATGAAAGCTGTCTTCTGAACGGGATGAAGCAAGCAGATTCGCAGATAACTTCCTTTGTAGTCCATCGTAATTATATCAAAACCTATGGCTTCAGGGACAGCCAGAACCACAGAGACCACCCAAATCAAAACAATTTCTACTGCTGTCCATTTTGGAACCCCAATTCCTTTAATTCTACTCCAAGAAGCAACAGCTCGATATCTGAAGATAAAAATAGAATTGTATTTTAAGCTGGCATACCTTAGTTTTATTGAATTGCACAGTTTATTTTCTAAGTAACATGGAAAACAATAGTATATATTCAGAATATACTTGGATTAAATAGAAGCTTCTACCTGTCAATACTCAGAGCACATAGACTCAGCACAGTGATTCCCACAGAGGCTTTCTGTATGAAAGGCACCAGCTTACACATCTCAGCTCCAAATGGCCAGTCCTCTGCCAGCAGCTGCATTGAGAAGACACGAAGCTCTGTTAGGGGGTTTCATAAGATGCCCTCTGAATTGTATCACTTAGTGAAGAGTAATTAACATGCAGAGTAGGATAAACTCTGGTTGTCATTCTTTTTCTCATGGACTACTTCTTTGAAAAGCACCATTGTTTGATATATGTATGGGACAGGAAAGTGTGTTGGGATTGATGAAAATGCAGCCAGCTTATAAGAAGTCATCATGCGTATACAGTAGCTTAGAGTTCAGCTCACCTCATCAGAGCAAACTTGAGCCAGTCGCTTAAGTTCCTCCTGAAAATTGAACCTGTATACTGTCATGGAGTCTGAAATGCCCAGATCATGGCCAAAGCAAAATATGGGTTAATTAAAATTGAATGATAAACAGTCCTTAGCTGAGGAGACCAGACTTCCCTACTGAAGTAGTACTCCATGCAGAACAGCATGTGCATTCAGGCACTTGTTCTTCATTGCAGTCAGTTTACCTAACTGAACAATCATTCAGTAGGAGTAGCTACACAGTTGCTCAAACACACCAGGCACATTCCTACTTAGGGCTTTCGCTGTAGGTCCTTCCTTATCCTAGAAGGCTCTTTCCCCACAGATTCACCTGGTTAACTCGCTTATCTCCTTCAGGTCTTACTCAAATTTCATCTTTTCAACATGACTTACCTTGATCACACTATTAGATACCGTAACCGGTCAGACATCCCTATCTCCCTACTCTCTTTTCCTTTTTATCCATAGTCTATCAATTCCTGTGGCATAACACATTAACTTATTTGTTTGCTTAGATTTTTTTCTGTCTGGATCCCTGGAGTGTAAGACAGACTATGAGCTCCACAACTGCCTAGAACAGTGCCTGACACATAGCAGATGTTTAATATTAACAGTGCTTGATTCATAGACTCTAAAATATAACAGTGACTGGCTGTATAAGGAGCAAGAAGACATAGTTATTGCTATTATAGATATATATTTATACACACACATAGTATGTTATATATATATAGTGTGTATATATGTACACGTATATATTTCTCTTTATCTGACTGCAGACTATGAAACCATCTATTATTAAATGTGGTTATTTTCTTTCTTAGGACAATATGGTGTGTCCCACACTGGTAAATGAATCATTTTAGGTGAACATCTGGATCAAATGTTCATGAGGTTTTGAAAATAAAAGTATTTCAAATCCATGGGTCTTAAAAATAGTTTGAAAAACAACCTTGCAAAAGTGAAAATTATTTTGAGACACAATGGAGTCTTTCCATCCTTTCACTAGTAGTGAAGACTCTACCGAGTTTGTCAAGCTGAGTTGATTGTTCTATAACTAGAATGACGTCAAAGGCTAAAATGTTTGTCTCATAATGAATTTGACTTGGAGATTCAACATAGGACCAACTTCATTTCTAAGTTAGATATCAAAACTTACACAGACATGTAGGACAAAAGTTGGCAGACTTATCATATATATGCTTAATGTAGGATCCTGAAGACCTACAGGGCCAGGCAGGTAACACAGAGAAGTGGAGGGTGCCAGGTCTCAGAAAGTCATTGGTGTCAGGAAGATGACAGGGAGTGGGGTGGGGTCTGGGGTAAACTTTGTCTGAAAGGAGCAGCTGCTAGTAGACATCACATACTTTTTGCTAAGGGGCTCCAAATACAAAAATCTCTTGATTTTTCTAAAGAACCCAGATTGGAATTTTTATATGAATCTCACAATTTATTAAAGTCCAATTCATATATATTTTTAAAAAACTCTCATATAACATTGTATTATCAAAATACATCTGTGAGCCATCATAGCCTCTATCTTGTGACTTCTGGGTTAATCAACTGACTCATTAATTCTGCTTGTTCATTCATTCATTCAATGAATATTTATTGAGCATTCACTATGTGCCAGACACCATTCTGAGCACTCCTGCTCTCATGGAGTTTACACTATAGTGAGGGAGGCAGACAAAAAACACATACATACTTAAAATGGTGTTAAACAGAGGCTGTGATCATATTGAGTGAGGGTGGGATTTGAGGTGTTTTCTTGATAAGCTTCTCAGTAAGGTCACCCTGAAGAGACAGCATTTGAGGAGAGACTTGACTGAAATAAGACAGTAAGCCATGCGAAGAGCATTCTAGGCAGAGGCAAGAGCATGTGCAAACGCCCTGAGGTCAAAACAAGCCTGGTGAACTGGAGGTACAGCAATGAGGCTACTAGCTACTAAAGCTGGAGAAGACTGACCCAGCCCAAATGCATGGAAAATGAAGTTGTAGAGGGAAGAATTTGAATGCTTTTTTTGAGGGAGTTCATTGCAAGGTTTGAAGAAGGGAAATGGCATGATCTAACATATTTTTCAAGAGATCACTGTTGCTGCCCAGTGTAGAATAGAATGTAGGGCCAAGAAAGGAAGCACTGATGAGAACTAGTGGTGAGCTGGATCCTGTGCGCCCTGAGGCTGTGAAGAGCGGGTTATAGGCTGTATATATTTTAAGGGTAGAGGTAGCTAGCAGGACTTGCTGATGGGTTGGACACATGATGTTGGAAGTCAGGACACTCACAGAGGTTTACCATGTGCATGGTGAAGCCATTTACTGAAATGGGGGAGACTCAGTGCACCACAGGTCTGAACCAGCTTTGAACCCATGTAGCTTTAAAAGAACTGCCAATTACCCTTAGAAATAAGAATAAAAATTATCCAACTGGTTTCAAGGATTATGCTAGACCCAGCCTGGTACAACTTATTCAGACAATATTCTGCTATTGATTACTCCTCCCTTCAAAACATGAAGCCTAATTTCCCTGCCTTTGAATGTGGATTGGACTTAGTGATTTGTTTTCAATGAATACAATGTGACAAAAGTGATGATGTGTGATGTCTGACACTAGTTCCTAAAGAACTGGCTTCCTCTCTCTTGGAACACTTATTCTGGGGGAGGCCAGCTGCCATGTCATGAGGACACTCAAGCACCTCTGTGGAGAAACCAGATGGCAAAGAACTGAGGCCTCTTGAAAACATCAAGCACTAATTTGCCACGTCTGTGAATAAGAGGATCCTCCAGCTTTAGACAAACGTTTGGACAACTGCATCCCCAGCCAGTATTTTAAATGTACCTTCTTGAGAGACCCTAAGCCAGGGCCACCCAACTAAGCCACTCCTTAATTGCCAAACCAAAGACACAATGTGATTTAAAAAATATTTACTGTTTTAAGCCACTAAATTGTAGGGTAATTTGTTATTCATTAGGAAACCCACATGCCTGCTTGCATTTGTTTGCTCACTTAAGTGAGTAATAGATCCACATTTGAACCCAGATGGTCTAGAGCCTATGCTTACAACCACTATAATACCTGCCCGACAGTGGTTTGAAGGAGGTGATTGTACAAAACAAAATGTTTAGAATTAAATCAAATTTTTTTTAAACCTATAGCTATGTGTCAAATAATAGTAAAATATCTAGATGCAGAGCAAAATCTTCTGCTCACCTAGTGCGATGGTTAACTTTATGTGTTAACTTGACCAGCCACTGGTTGCTCAATTAAACATTCTCTATTTCTGAGTGTGTCTGTGAGGATGTGTCTGGAAGAAATTAGTATATGAATTTGTGGACTCAGAACAGCAGATTGCCTTACCCTAGGTGGGTGGCCATTATCCAATCTCTTGAGGGCCTGAATAGAACAAAAGGCAGAGGCAGAAGGAATTTGCCCCTTTTTCTTCCTATCTGGAATGTCTCATTTCATCTCCCCTGGCCCTCAGACTGGTTTCTCAGGCCTTTGGACTTGGACTGAATTACACCACTGGCTTTCCTATATTTGCAGCTTGCAAATGGCCAATTATGGGACTTCTTAGCCTCTATAATCTCATAAACCAATTCCTCATTATCTATTTATCTGTCTGTCTACTAACTACCTATCTACCTATCCATCCATCTATCTATCCCACTGGTTCTGTTTCTCTGGAGAACCCTGACTAATCCCCCTAGTTATTTTATTCAAATAATGTACAAACATTTGGATATTTTAAAATATTTTATTCTGTCTTAAATTATTTCCAAATATGTTAATATTGTTATCCTGTAGGTATGGCTATCAGAAGAATCAAGATGAATGAGCGTCCAGACCATTGAAGGGAAAGAAGTCTGGCTGATGAAAATGAGCTCTGCACTGAATCCAGGCCATGTTTTGAGGTTTCCATTGTTTTTGGCTCAGCCTAGAAATTGGATTATTGCTCTTCATACCACTGGAGGCCTGCAGCCCAACCTCTGACCCAAGCTATCACAGAAAACAGGGAAACACAAACTGAAAATTATAACAATGCTCTTCAAGCTCAACAGAGAGATAGTCAGACACGTAATCACCACGGAGAGATTACAGTTTTCTAGTCTACACTTTTGAAGGGAAAGAGACTGCAAAAAAAAAAAAAAAAAAAAAAAGAGAGAGAGAGCATTAACCTTTATCAGCTTTCAGCATTTCATGCTTTCAATTTAGAACTGGATGCTATTGGCTCTGGAAGGCCATAGAAGATGTGGGAAGAGCATGCACTGTTGCTTCCATTATTTTGTAGTGAGAAGGATGGCTTTGGCGAGACTCTAAACGCTCTTCCTTTAAAAATCTTAACCTCTGCCTCACTGATCAGAAGGCTTTGTGGAGACCCAGCAAAGCCTGATACTCTGTGACAGAAACCATGCCCACTATTGATGCTCATCTCTGTCATCTTAATGGCCTCTAGCAAGAAAGTCTTTAGGCAAGCTAGTGCTTGAAGCTTACCTAAAATATAAAGGTATCCCTGGTGGGGAAAAACTATGAAGTTTTGCCAAAAAAAAAAAAAAAAAAATTCACTCTCAACCAAGATGCCATCTTTAAAATTTGGTGAGAGATTGTTCTTATAGATGGGTATGATTCTTAGACATTCATTTCTTCATCATTCTTTGGGAAAAATAACAACATCTAACATCAATAATTTGAAGTCTAAGGATACAGCTTTCCCCACTGAAGAGGAAATGGATTCACTTTATTGCAAGAGGAAGCAACTCTAACTTTAAACCCAGCAATAACACATTCCTTATTCCCTATTTTTAGTTTTTTCTTTGGACTTTACCCCATTAAATTAGATAACTTAAGGGCAAGGTCTGAACAGTGAAGACAATTCAAACATGTAATCAAAAGGCTGTCTCTCTGATCGCAAAAAGGGTGTTTAGAGTTTAATATTGACACTATGTCGCTTCCACATAAATTAAAATTTTAAATCCTGTTTAAAATTCAGTTGAATATATGTTACCTAACATTGATCAAATATGAGCCAGTTGGCAATACTCACATAACTGGCACTGGTTTTCATATCATGATGTCTCATCTAACTGAATAGCTGTTGTTAGTGTTAAGTCCTGCTGGCAATATGGTATCCATTTGACAAAATGATAGCCTATGTTTGTGCTGACCCATTTTACCCTAAGGCTTATACTGCTTCTCTAGAACATTTCTTTTGGATGATAAACACAAATAAATAAACACTAGATTGAAAAAAGGTGTGGCCATACTGGCTAAAAGATTTCTACTCAAGAAAGACCGTGATTTTATAACTTTACCTTGGAACAGCTGCTTGAGAAAGAAACAAGGCAAGAGAATCCAAATAAATTATTCTATTACATTATAAAGTCATTTTGATATTATAGTTTAAAATTTTTCTAAAAGGATAAATAGCATGAATAAGAAACAAATATTCTTTACTTATTTGAGGGTTTTGTGAAGTGAATCCTACAAAATCTCTCTAACCAGGGGATTTACATGTTTCATTTCTCTTTTTAATTAAAAATCACATACTTGAGATAATAAATGAAGAAAAAAAATCCTGTTAACACACACCCCTGTTAATGCCAAAAGGAGTCAAGCCCCATAAAGTCAGGAAATGTCAAAGTTAACCATCTTGTACAAGCAAATGTTCACTCACCTCATTAAACATAGATAGCATTTTCTTTTTCTACTTTATTAAATTACAAATGTACATTGAGCTTTAACTGTTTATTTGTTTCAGAATATTCTACAACATTTATAATGCCTAGTACAGTGATTGGCACACAGTGGTCACTCATTCAATGTTTGTTAAGTAACGATGAACGGATGAGTGGATGAATGAATTTGATCACACGGCAGAAATCATCTATGACAAAACATTTGTCATGAGCTTTTCAGTTCTCATACTCTACATATATTCTTTAGATAATTGACATGACTGTATATTTACTATTTATATTTTCTAGTACTGATGATCAGGTCTTCTTGGCACATAGAGTCAGAAACTCTAGAATTGAGGCTTGAGAGTGGGCTGGACTCTTGTTGGAGTTCTGCTCTTCCATGCAGGGCGGAAAAGGTAACGACAAAAATTCCTCTCCCACCCTCTCTCTCCTACTCAAACTTGTCAAGGCAATGACTGATACAAAACAGAACCTACTGTTTCTCACTATGTAATGGGAGTCTATGAAGAGCTTCAGCTGTGGAGAGGATTGTTAAGTTTCGTGGAAGTAGATGCAGTAAACATAGGAGCATTGTAAGAGATGATTGTTTTAGAGGATGAGTGAGTGGTGTAATTAAGAGGACAACCAAGATTACTTTGCCAGACTGCAGTCTATTCCATCCTGTGATAAGTTGTGAACGTTTCTTTAAACGACTGGCATTATATAAATGTTTTCACAGTAAGAGTCAAAAAAGGAAAATAATGGAATGGCTGCATTTCACAACTTTAGGAAAGGGTGTATTCTGTTTTTGTCTCTGTTTCCTGTAGTAGTTAAGAGTTTTTCTGTGTTTGAACTAGAGTTTTAATGAGATAGGGCACCTTCACTAAAGGACTTCCATGCCAGAACTCTTTCTGTATTAATACACAAAGAAATAGTTCAAAGTAAGCTTTGAATTTGGAGTCAATATGCTGATCAAGTGCATGGAAATATTTTCTTCTTGACATACAGTGCACCGTGCCCTGAAGGACAAATATAAATTACAAGTTCTACCCTGCATCCATCAGAATGCCCTTAATCACTTAAAGATTAGCCTATGTGAGTTAGAAATATGTGGGTCAGAAATAATGTTAGCTTATCCCCCAGGGGTGCCATCTCAATAGATTACAATAAGTACAGTGCCCCCTAGAGTTGTGCAAGGCAGCGGTTCTGTCCATGGGAATCTATTTCACACACATCCACAAAACAGAGGCCTTTTCACAGCTCTGGAAAGATTCCTCTAACTTGCTGAAATAGAACAATGGCTTATGAAAATGAATTAAAGTTCTTGAAACAAAATCTCTAAGAGAAACATAGAGATAGAAAACAATTTTTTAAAAATATTTCTTAAGAGAAATTGAAGTTTACCTCAAATATATTTTCCTACCAGAAATTTATTTCTGAGTCTGTAACAGGCCAGGAAAGAAATTGATTGTACTCTTTTATTATCTAAATTTAAAAATATATCCATAGTTTGAGCTTTAAAACTATCACCGACATATTACATATTTTGAAAAGATCCAACTAAGGGAAATAACAAACCCCATTCACAAACCTGGCCTATTATTAGTTCACTTATCTGAGCTGGATCTTCTAAGATCACTGGTGATATCTGAAGACACAGAAGAATGAGAACCTGAGGGCCTCCTGGCTCAGAACGAGACTTGCAAACTACATGAATTCAACAAACCTTATTAAGTAACTTCATGCCATACCTAAGCCTAATTCTATCTGTGGAATATCTTATGGGAGACTAATAAGCTGTGATCAGAAAATGTCTGATTACTATGGAATCTGAAAGCTCATTAAAATAGGCTGAACACACTGAGTGAGTGGGAAGAAGACAGCGTACAGTGTAAACATTCTGAGGATAGTTTTCCTCCTTTCTGGAAACTACAATGAAACTGAAGAAGACAGAAGTGGGGAAAAGACACAGGTCAGCAGGCATGAGTGCAGTTTTGAGCCTCAAAAGGGGAGACTTGCTTGAGAAATGCTTCAATCAATTTTGCTAATAAATTTCTGATTCAAGAATGATCCTCTTCTATCTTCTCCCTTCACGCCTTCTCCTCTCTCTCTCCCTCTCTCCCATCCACCACCACATTTTGGCCATTTTCTTGTTCCTTTACATTTTCACCAGAGGCCCTACAGGGAAGGATAAATAACTCTCTAAAATAAAAGCCTTGGAAATAATAAAAAGTCTAAAATTAGAGAAGTTGTTGGCTAAGGTATACCCACACACCACATTCAGCTATCTCCCAAACATAACCAACTTCTTTTTAACTGTGCAAAGTCCTGAAAGAGAATGTTTCACATCATAAATTACATCTTGAATCTTATTTCAGCTCAGGCTTTATCTGTCAACACCCTTTAAAGAACTTAATCATTTATTAGCATTTGGCATGTTTCTCTAAAAATAATCAACTATAGCATATTAGCTACACAGAGATACCCTTATATGGTTTTCTTTGTGAATTGAAGAACATGGCTCCCTGGCCTGGAGACAACAGGGTCTTGGCTACGTTATCCTTTTGTACAACTATGGAAATATCTTCAATCTTGAAAGACTCATTTTAAATGAGCAAACTGAGAAATGTAAACCTTTTGATAGATAAGCCTTACCATATTGAAAGAAAACCTTACCTTGACATTTGTAGAGGCTTGGATTTACGGAGTGACCAAGTGGCAGATCAAAGGCACACACAAGAAATACCATCAAATTGAACCTAGGGAACCTTGCATTGCCCAAGGCCAAGTGCTTACTGACCATTTTGTCACAGAAATCTATGACCAACATGTGAAACAGTGAATTGGGAATATGAAGTCTGAGTTTCTGGTTGATTTGAATTCTGCTATCAACCTGTTATCTGACTATGACAATACTTTAATACAGAAGGAATCAAGCTTTCTTTTTCTTTTTCATTTGGACATCAGTAAAAATATGAGTGGAAAAAGCCCACTACTCTTATGTCTTCTGTATAACATCATTTGTCTGAAGCATTTGTGTAGTATTGACAGTTGCAGCCACTATGATAGATGGGTGTCAGGGTATTTGCTGTATTGTTAACTGATTCCAGGTCATTCAAGCTAAAAGCCTGGCTTTTAATTAACACGTTTTAAAAGTTAATACTTTAAATGCACTTAATTGGTGCTCCTTAAAAATTATTTTGCTTTACATAAATCATACAGGTTCCACTTTTGGTTCAGAATGCTTATGCTGGTAAAATATCTTTAAATATTACTAAAATATTTCAGTTACTTGACTGGAAATGAGAACATTGTTATTAAACTGGGATAAATTAGACTCCTCTCCCAATGATACCCTTACTTCTTGTGTTGCTATATATGCATATGCTTCAGTTTACTGATTGGAATATGTGAATATACTTCAGTTTACTGACTGGAAAATTATAACTTCAAAAGTTGGTGGTGTTCCATCAACTTTTACTTTTAACTACAAAACTAGTTAATTATACATAAACTTGTTAAGTACCAGAAGTAGTCTAAGAGGATAGTGCAAAAGGTAAATTTGTTCAGAAAGATAATCCTGATTGTGTCACAAGCAGAAAATGTCTGATTACCTGCCAAGGTCACTTCACTCGAAACTCATTTGTGGGTTCAGTGAAGCAATTCCGCATTTTGACATACCAGCATTTTAATGTTATATGTTCCCACCCTTAACTAGTTAAACGTTAAAGATCAGCAGTTTTGCCTTTCAGAACTATGAATGCAGCCTCTTTGCCTCTAATAGTAGCCTACAGTTCTTAACTGTAAAACCATCTAGAAGCACTCCAGTGGGTCACCAGCCTAATTTCTAGCTCTCCATCACCACTGGACACCTGATTACCTTTGGATCCTTACCAAACTAGTTAATGTGGATATTGGTATTTGTCTTATCAGTTTGCAAGTAGATTTGTTTTTAAATGCAATTTCTTTACACATAAAGGAAGCTATATTTGAGAGCTAACTTCTTTAACTCAGTTATCCATGTAAATATAACATAAAGAGAGTTAATAAAATTCAGAAGTAATTTAAGAACTCACTATTTGCTCAAGAATTTTTAACTTCTCCCAACCTACAACCAAGTTTTGTTAAATATCATTGCCAAAGCAAACCAAGCCAAATCAACTAACCAACCAAACAACAACATAAACACATTGATAGCATCCCCAAGTATACCCGGCTGTCTTGCTTTTTATCCAGCTTTGATATCTATGCTTCTACAACTTAGTAGTGGAACACCAGGCTCTCATGTGAACAAATATCTAGATTACCCCATTTATTTTAGGATATATAGGAAGGGCAAAATAAGTAGCTTGTGAATAAGGAGAAATTCATCCTAACGTCAGGTAGTCAAGCACTGGCTTTTGGTTCTGATGTATATGTAGACTATGTAAATATTAAGCATGGTGGCCCATATACATATTACAGATAAACATTAATATGCATTTACATCCATATTGAGATATTATATAAAATAGTGATTAATACCAAGAGTACAAGAATAACTTTCTAGCACAATATGGCAATATCTTTCAAAATTACAATGCACACACATTTTGATTTAATAATTCCAGTTATAAAAATTTACCCTTCAGATGTAGTCACACATGTGTGCAAAGCCATATGTACAAACATGTCGTTTGTAGTCATGTTTGTCACGACAAAAGCTGGAAAACAAAGAATACTCAAAACGCACATACACACACATACACACATTTTAATAACATTTATCATTTCTTGCTATATGCCATGCCCTGTGCCAAATGATAGTCATCTTTTTACTTATATATTCTTATAAAACTTAACATTTTAATGTATGTACATGTACACGTGCATATATATTTAAATAAATATCTCCTTTGGATGCCTGAAGTTTTCATTGTTCTTCTGGTTGGTGTTGTGTAATGTAGGCATAGCCCTAGTGTGTGCCTATGAGAAGCGTAAGCAACGCTTATTATTTTCTGCATGTTTACATGAGTTTAAAGTTCTTCAGCAGCCTCAACTTGCTAAGTGTCCTCAGACACTTCCCTAGCCTTCAACACAGGATTTCACCCACAACACAGGAGACCTGTGAGAGTGGTATGATTCTTCCTAAAAGTTTCCAGGGACCCAGCTCCTTGAGGAAGTCCAGGCAGATCAGACATGTTTCCCAATGCTTTTCAGCTTCCCACTGCAGCAACTCCAGATAAAGTCCCACCAATTCCACAGCCTGAAGACTGTAGCTTCCAATAAGAGCTATGACATTTTGTGATTTGTCAACTTTACTGAACTCTATATTCATTAAACTCTAGATTAATGGAATAGATTCACATTGACATTTCTGGGCCTCTGGGCCCTTAGTGTGCCAACAAGAGAGTAGGAGAATTTCACAAACCCCCAGAAATTGTGTATATTGAATTCTCAAAGAGAATTATAAAACCCCACCAAAAAAATTAGAAATCACTGGTTTAGATTTAAGCCTCTCATATTAGGATATATTAAATATAGCCTTCATAACTCATTTAAATTACTTTTTTCTGAATGATCATACCTGACTACTCTGAAATTCTAAATGCATTAAAAAAACTACGTTGCCACAATTATTTAGGAGAATAAATGGCTTTTAACTGGTCCTGGATTTGATATTTTGGTAAATTAAGCCATTAGAATAACTTCCACTGATATTACACACTACAGACCAGCTGAAGGGGGTTTCAAGAGACCGAAATCCTGACTCAAATTAATTTCTGAAAATGTTTACCAAGTATTCTACTGTGGGATAGCATATTATTTGCCATAATTCCACCAAATGCTCCCAAATGAGATCCTAAAACAATACTCAAGGTTGGAGATGACCATGCAGTGCCTGAGCATGCTTTGTGCAGTGGGATGGGGTGGACCACAGGGTCTTGGGCTGGATGATCTGCTTTCAAGCCCCAGTTTCATTACTTTGTAGTGGTATGACATTAGGCAAGTTACTTCTTCACCTCTCTGACAAGTAGTTTGCCTAGATCTAAAGCAGGAATGATAACGATACCTCCTCTACAGGGTTGTTATAGTGACTTAATGAAATAAACCAAGTGCCTAGTGCATCATTAACTGGTAGCCATTATTATGATATTGTGTCTCAAGCTAAACCTAAGGCCACAAGGTAGGATTCAATAATGATGACCTTAGTGATGGGACGTAATGTGATGAATGTGTTTGTGACCCATGTAGATTAATGGATGGACAGATTTATAATGACTCATTGGCTTATTTCAGAAGTAAAAACACAGTCATGTTAAGACTGGATGGCTTCAGGGAAAAGGATGTAACTTCCTAGGGAAATCATATGGGAGTTTGAAATGAAAGGGAAACTGTATGACCTCTTGGGGAGTCAGAAATTCTCTAGTTTATTACAAATACTCATTTAACCAGACAGAGGAAATAAGATGGTTCTGGAAGAGCTGATTTATATCTGTCCTGGAGGCAGCACACCAGAACTAAAAAAATGTTCTCAATCCCACCTTCTACACAGCACTTCAGCTACTGTCTGATTTAGAAAGGTTTCTAACTGGGCTGGACATGTGGGGTTTCCTGACCCCCTAAACAGAACTTTCATAAAATCCTGTGCCAACCTAGCAAAACTAGATTTTAATCTCCCTTTGGGAAGAGATCTTGTTAGATTTATTTTAAATTTATCACAACACCTTGTACTGAAAAGTTCTCAATTCGGTTTTGATGAATTGAATTGAAATTCCTTTGCCAAATTAGAATGGGAAGATTTAGTTTGTGGGACGCCTTAAGAAGTAAAAGGGTCACTTCTGGCCCTCATGGAGTTGTGGCTGCATTTAGAGATTCAATTTCAGCTCTTACCAAGTAAATCCTCACAGTTCATCAGAATCAATTGCCATACAGGATTTTAGGATTTCTTCAATCGATTCCCCCATTTCCGGGGGTGATTCCCTTTAGAGAAAACTATATCCTAATCCACTCTCACCGCTAAACCTCAGAAATGTTCGGAATTCCCCTTAAAATATAGCTATTGGGTTAGGATTTTTAGAGATTTATGAAGGGAAATTTACAGGCATGCCTTATGGTAACTACTCCTGCCAATAGGTCAAAGCATTCCCTACAACATTTCCCAACTTTACATTCCATTTTTTTCCCCTTGTACTGAAGTACTGAAGTCAGGGCTAGCTATAGGCAAATCTGCAAAGCACAATTCCATTTCCTTACACTGTGATTGTGTTTTTATGTGCAACTTTCTATTGCTGCTGCTGCTGCTGCTGCTGGGAAAGTTTTAAATATTTTCATATGTCTTTGAAATTTTCCAACTGTTTTATTTAGACTGCTTTTTTTTTTTTAACACCATAAAGCCTCAGTAAGTGGGCACTGGCAGCCTTATTGTGGAATTGAGGAAACTGAGGCCCAGAGGTGCTGGGATGTGTCTGGAGTTCCAAAGCAACCTGGAGCAACCTGGCTCTTTGTGTGTTTCTACTGACGCCCATGGTAATCACACAATAATGTTAACTACCGAAACCCTTACAGATTTTGAGTGCTCCTTGGTCTTGTCCATGAAATAATTGATGGGGTGCCATCATATAGCTTGCACTTTGGAACCTGACAGATTGGGTCTGATCCCCAGCTCCACCTCTAATTCATTTACTTTGATCATCCTACCAGTCATCTGTAAACTAATTGTAATATCTACTTGTGGGCTGCTGGAAGGAATAATGGAAGTAACACATCTCACCCAGTCCTTGGCCCACTGTAGATATTTAATACAAAGTAGCTACAGTCCGTCACAGCAGGTGAACTGTGTTTTTCCTACTCACCAGTCTGGATCTCTTTTTTCCAGGCCATTTATTTCCTAAATACCTACTTTGTACCTGCTACTTTCAAAGTCTTCCAAAACAGTCCTTCCCAAAGTTAGTGGGCATATCAATCACATGAAGATCTTAAGATGCAGATTCTAACTTAGTAAGTCTGAGGTAGCCTTGCATTCCTAACAAACTCTCAGGTAATATTGATGCTGACTGTCCATGGACCACACACTTTTGACTAGAGGATGTACCCCATTAGGTGCACTTAGGGACTAGATCCTTCAGGACTAGTGGTTCTCAAACTTTACAGTTCATCATAATCACATAAAGGGCTTGTTAAAATACAAATTACTGTGCTCCACTCCAGAGTTTCTGATTCAGTAGGTCTGGGGTGAGGCCAGAAAAATCTTCATGTGCACCAAGTTCCCAAAGTGATACTAACATTGCTAGACTGGGGACTACGCTTGTCCTAAGCTTAGCAGAGGTCTACTGAAGACCTGAATGGAATTTTATTCCAATGGTTACTGACTTTTATGAGTGGACAGAACCAAATGGAATTTGGTTCCAAAGATTACTGACTTTTAGGAGGGGCAGAACCTTAAGAGGGAGCTAAAGGGAAGCTCCCTCTACAAGCTTTCTCATCTCCCCGTCTCCAACCAGGCCCCCTTCCTCAAGCCCACCATGATTTCAGCAGGCGCCCTTTACCTTGTAGACATTGATAGGGATGTCAATGACGATGTGCAGCAGGTCTCCCAGAGCCAAGCTGGCGATCAAGATATTGGGACCGTTTCGCATGCACTTGTTCTTGTAGATAATTCTCAGAAGTGTGGAGTTCCCGATGATCCCCAGCACGAACACAAGGCAGGACACAACCGTGTTGATGTATTTGAAAGTCTCCTTGATCTCGATGGGTCCTTGGCACGGGGGAGGGGAGATGGTGCGTGGCGGAGATCCTGCCGTCCTGTCTCCTTTAGGCACCTCCGCAGGTGCCAACGACCGCGCCAGACTGGCGTTGGAACCCTTGGGCCATAAGGTCTTAGTGGGTGGCGTCATTATCTCTGCGGTTTGCAAAAGCGGAGTGGCCCTGTCAGGCGGGAAGCCTCTCTCCTCTCCCCAGATCCGCGACAGGCCGCAGGCAAGAACCAGCGCAACCAGGGCGCGTCCGCACAGACTTGGAGGCGGCTGCATGCTGCTACCTGCTCCAGAAGGCGTCCGGTGGCCGCTCCGCAGTTTCAGAGCCTAGAGACAAGCAGAGGAAGGAAGACAGGACACTTGGGTCAGCTGCCCGAGCCAAGTCGCTGCAAACGCTAATACCGCCCGCAGCCTCTTCGCCAGTATCCACGCTCAAAAGTAACTCAAGTTTGCGCGCCAGTGGGAAACTTGGCGCTCATGACTCGCCAGCGCGGGTCGAAACTCCTTCCTGATGCCCTCTCAGCTGTTTTTCTTCCCCCGCGTGGCCAGGAGGGGTAAATAATATGCAGTGGGGCGGGGCGTTCTGGAAGGGGTGTGCCAGGGAGGGAATGATGGGGGTCCCAGGCAAAGCTCCGAACTCTTTCACGTAACGGGAGGAATACAGACACGTCTTAGTTAAGCGTGCGTGGGAACCGCGGAATTAAGGCACCTAGAGGCCAAGGGCTTGTGTCAAGCTCTGCATTTTGCCCCGCAGGGGAACCTCTATACCCCGCGATTGAACTCGAAAGACTCCTCCCGGCGGATGAAAGCCGCTACTCCCTGGCTGGCTGAGCTACAGCTCCCGCAGCGCGCCCAGGAGTGCGCCGGAGATTCGGAAACCCGCAGAGACTTCTCAAGTCAGCAGGAACTTGGAAACCGCTGTTCCCTCCAAACGGCTTCAAACACTCGCGCTCCTTCCTTTACCCAACCTAATTTTAATTTGCCCTCTCTATAGGCTTAATTTTTATTTTTTTAAAATCCCAAACTAGTAAGCCAAACCGAAGCCCCAGAATAAGGTTCAATCAATGATTTTAATTCAACACCAAGCCCGAATGTTTACCTCTCGGATCTGACAAACCAGATGCAGAGCGACGAATGGAGACCACCTTCCCGGGAGGCGGAACCCAGCTGGGTTCCAGCCTGCTCTGGGAGAGGAGCACGCCTCCCTTGAGCTGCAGGCGGGTCCGGCTCTGACGAAACGCTGCGAGAATGCCAGACAGTGTAGCCTCCACCGTTTGCTCGGGGTCTCTGCTGCCATCAGACAAGTACTTTTATTCATTCATCCCTTCCCATCAATCACCGCCAGACTCCTCCCGCGCCTTCCGACCCCGCTGCAACCTTTCCCCTTGGGCGATGCCTGGACAGCATCAGTAGTAGTTGCCCGAGGGAGGGGGGCAGTCCTCGTCCGGGGACAGGTCCCAAAAGGCTGTTTATTTGTTAGAGTTCTACGCTCTTCAAATGAACCCAAATCAAGGGCAAGTTATCACGCACCATGTGACACCCGGCAGCTCCAGACTAGAACAAGGCTCTGCACTGAACGTGATAATTGAACTTTTAATGCCAAGTGTCACTTTTCTTTCAGGTAAATGTTCCGCCGCTGTGATATTTAAGGTTGGTTTGTGGGCGCTGCTCTTTGCTCTGCTTCATTTTGCCCTGAAGTTTCATTTCAAGCCAACATTAACCCCAACACGGAACAGCTCGATCTTTTCTTCCCAGGCCCTCTCACTGCCCCGAGAGAGGATTACAAGTACTCCTCATTTTCCCCAGTACAGCTCTTCTCCTCTCTTCCTGCCACAGTATCGGTGTTAGGCAATCTCAGGCATTTTTATACTGTACCTATGACAGACTTGATGCTTATCGGAGACATGAAAATAATCAGAAAGCTGCCATGCAAATTCAACATGATATTTATTTACCAGGTAGAGCAATACAATAAGGTCTTTCTATCCATTCTTGAGCTCCATGTTTACCGCAGAGAGGAAAATAACAGCGACTGGTAGTTTTGCCCAGAGATTGTATAAAAGAGGTCAGGAAGTCAGGCTTGGAGATGCACTGGAGAGTACTGTGCCGTCCTCCAATCAGCAAAATCCCTACTGGATCTGTGGAACTTCAAACCCAGAAGCACCCATTCCATGTAGCAGTTTCACCCAGAGACAGGAGGCTCGTTTTTTGCTTCATGTTAGTTAATGGAATAGATGGGACAAGAACCTTGGATTTTTGGCTCTTAGGCAATGCTTTCTGGGACAGTGGAAGTAGAAAATCAATTTCTATTTAAAAAGGTGAACTTTAAGTGTGAAATGTGGTTAGGAACATGGTTACGGAGTAAGGCTAAAGGAATGAGAAATATGGTCTAGGGTTGTGAGTGCTAATTCCAAATCTGGCTATTTTGAATTGCAGTCCTTATCCTCCCTGTCTCGTAAGAACGAGGTCAACATTCAATTGCTGAGCCAAGTAACAATATACAATGTTGTCTGAATAAGGAATTATATGGAAGCTTTGGAATATGAATATTTTGCTTAGTTGACTCCACCCAGTGTTGGATCTGCCCTTCCTATACAAGCTTTGTTGGGTTCATGCCTATGGCTCCTGTGGGGTGACTTTTCTCTCTCCCCACTGGCCTTCTCATCATCTCCATCTCCATTCAAATTTCCTCCACTGAGTCCTGGAAGTCTGCTCTAATCCTCACTGAGGTCTATCTCTTTACTTTTCTTGGAGCACTTTTGGACTGTTAACCACAACTTAGCAAGCACTTGATCACATAAGAGACATCTATGGGTCACTATTGATTTCGTGTGACTTAATTTCTTTTACAGGACAGGGACTTGAATGAGTTATATGTTCTTTCTGCACCATCCCACTACCTGCCACAAAATGAGCTTAAGAAATATTTTTTATAAATTGATAATGATATTTTAAAGTATTCAGTTATACTTTATTAACTGGTCATTGGGCTCAAGAATAAGGCCAAACAATTTTAAGGTAAATATACACATTCCTCATTTGGAATTTAAAACACAGTATCAGCTACTCCTTACAGGGTCTACCACCTGCATTAGACACCTTTTCACAGTACCTCATTGATTCTCTGATGTTTGTCTTCCAGCTCTGTATTATTTTCTATGATGTTATAGGCAGTGAAACTGAGTCTCAGTAATTCACTTAAGGTCATGTGGCTAGTTAGTTGTGGGACCAGGATTTGGAGCTAGGATTTGAATGCATGTCTAAATGGTTACACAGACTATGCTTTTTATTATTGTAATTGCAGAAAGCCTAAGCAAATTTTTTTCTTATTTTGGGGAAACAGTGTTCTAGACATCAGTAATATGCAATTGAAGTTTAACCTTAAATATTTCACCTTAACATGTAAAGACAACCATGTGAAATGTAAAGAATTGTTCATTGATCTTCATGAATGACTGGGTGTCAGTTTCCCCTTTTGTAAAATGGAAGAAAAGGATTAAAGTTACTTCTTGCTCCAATAAATCAGTCCGACTGACAAACTGCCTCTGTAGGAGTGTCTTAAAGTGCAGAAAAGTGGAAACAGATTCTAGGCCAATATTTTTTTTTAATGTTACTTTCATTACTCATGCCTTGAGCAGTACTGCTATGGATATAGTTTTTTTTTCATCTTATTACTTAAAATCTGTTATCGATAAATTTTATTTATGAATTCACTAGCAACTAACTACTATGTAAATTTCACTTCTATATATGAGCAAAAAGTTGTATCAAATTTTAAGAATTCCTACCTGCAAACTTGTGAACTAATTTTGCATTTATGAGAGGATTTTTTTTTTTTGGCTAGGTAAATGTGGAGTCTTTTACAAAGTTGCTTATTTTAAACGTTTATGAAGTGTCTAGGAAATCTATCAAAATTCCAGATTGGCTAAGATCACTTCTCAAAGTTAGAAAGTTGAAGATAGACAATGTCCCAGTATTTCCTTTAAATGCTTTATCTAGAAGTTCCTGAAGACAGGGTTTAATGCAATTCGGAATTCATTTCTCAAAGAGGTTTGCCATGGGGAGCATTCCCAAAATAAACCTTTTCGCCTGGTGACAGAACAAAGAAAAGCCCTTTTAGCCACACAAAAAAGTTAGTACTTTCATGTAATCCTCTTGAAATGAATGTGCCCTCAAAACCTATGTTGAACTCTCTAAATCATGAATGCTGAGAGACAAGGTGTGCGAAAAACACAGAAAGAGTTGGTTCAACTGGTTCTCCACATATTCCTCTGGGACCAGATTCAATGATCAAATAGTGGTTGAAGTAAGAGAATAAAAAAGTTTTAAAGTGACTGCAAAAGTCAATAGCAAACAGCATGAGAATTTCTATTTCTTGAGTTTTCTTTTCTATTAAGTGACTGTAGCTATCTGGATCCATGATAAAGAATCTTTTTTAATTAAGTATAATGTATGTACAGTGAAATGGACAGGGCTTAACTGCAGCTTGAAGAGTTTTGCCAAATGTTTGCAATCCTGTGACCCATACCTAAGGGGCTCTTTGAAAATTCATTTATTCTTTAAAAGTGGTAAAATTTGAATATTTTAGATTTGGACGCTATTCCTGTTAAAACGCTCATTAAGACACTATTTCTGCTTTATCAACTTATCTGATACATCTTATCAGCTTCTATAACTAAAATGTCACTCATAAATTAGAGGTGTGATTAAATGAGAGAATCTGACATTTGAAACGTTATCAATGATTGCTTGATGGTACCAAATTACACTTCATTCCCTGATGTAATTAAAATTTGATAGGTTTAATGTAACTAGAAATAAGACTTCATTAATTCTTTTCTGCCTATAGAAAATATGAGAAACAGACAGGATACATTCTTTTTTTCTGAGAAAAGCAACATAGTTCAGCTATTTTAGGCTATGGTCTACTTTAATTAAAATTAGACAATAATTTGCTTTCCTACTTATAACTTAAGTAATTTTTATATTCCTTTCTTTGACATATTTTTTTTCACCAATCTCAGTAAAACAAAAAATGAGTGTAACCTGGTCTACAAACTTCTTAAAACTGTTCACAGAACTTTTGTAACAACTTTGAAAAGATATTAGAAATTCCAGTCTAAGAAGGCAGTCGGACCTGTGCCGTCTTGGTTTGTCAATGCACACTGTATTTATTAAATTATTCTTAGGCCACTCAGTAATGGAGAAAACACTATCATTACTGTATGTCAGCACAGTCTTATCATGTGTAATGCACTCTTTGGGGAGTTGTTATTTCATATGGAATATAATTTATAATGAGTTTATGTATTTTCTGTGACTCTAATTGTTTTCTTTAATTTTTACCTTTCCTTGTTTCCATTCTTTTGATACCTGAATGAAGTGTCCAAAGAGATGTGAAATAGTCAAAATAGGTTAGAAAGCAAAAAGAAAGAGAAACTTGGATCTTTAGCTATTTACTGGTAAATAAAAGAGAGGTACTTTTTTTTTTTTTTTAAAGAAAGTAAAAGTTATTTGTAGTACAGAATAGAATGTGCTAGGAGAGTCCAAAAAGGAGAATTCCCACAGCAGGCTTTTTTTCTTCTTCTTTTGTTTTTAACAACTGTACTTAATCAATGAGATACTTTAAATTTCATTTCTGCTAATTATTAAGCTCTGGTAATGGAAATACCTTTTAATCAAAATCTGCCAAAATCTGTAAAAAGTTTCCGATTATGCTTTGAGATTTAATTGTAGGGGAATAGAACTATTTGTATGAAAATTTAAAGGGAAACAATGATTTTACTGAGTGTTTATTTACTATACATTAGATGAACAATTTAACTTTCAGGCCAAGAGTCATGGCATGCTTTTGTCAAAGCGAGGGATCATCTGGGGCTTGCAAAGCCATGCCAATTTCATAAGGCGATTTTTGCTTATCTCTTTTAGTGATGCATGTATAGCAAATTGCTTCTTCTCTTTTGGGCCCTGCTAGAGAGAACAATTATTGCTATCCGTGAAGAAAGTGATTCTGAAATGGCTTTACCAGCTGTGAATTATCCAAAGAAAATTACTCACAGAATCTCATGGGAAATGCACAGGCGACTTACTTCTTATGAGGGCAGCAGATAATGCAAAGCTGGCATTTGAGGGGGACATGGCCAAGGTAACAGGTGCCAAGTACCCTGCAGAGAGGTAGGCAGAATATAGAAATGGGAAATCCAAGAAGCGGTTAATTCCTTGAGTATCTTTTAATGTGGTAAAAAAACACATAATATAAAATTTAACATCTTAACCATTTTTTAAGTGTACACTTCAATTGTGTTAAATACATCTATATTGTTATGTAACAGATCTCTGTAACTTTTTCATCTTGCAAATTTGAAATTTGCTATTAAAGAATGATATGGTTTGGTTCTGTGTCCCCACTCAAATCTCATCTCCCATAATTCCCATGTATTGTGGGAGGGACCCAGTGAGAGATGATTGAATTATGGGGGCAGGTCTTTCCTGTGCTGTTCTCGTGATAGTGAATGGGTCTCACGAGATCTGATGGTTTTAAAAACGGGAGTTGTCCTGTACAAGCTCCTTTTTGCCTGCTGCCATCCACCTAAGATGTGACTTGCTCCTTCTTGCCTTCCACCATGATTGTGAGGTCTCCCCAGCTATGTGGAGCTGTAAGTCCAATAAACTTCTTTCTTTTGTAAATTACCCTATCCCAGATATATGTTTATCAGCAGCCTGAAAACGGACTAACACAAAGAACAACTCCCCATTTCTTCCTCCACCCAATCCCTAGCAACCACCATTTTAATTTCTGCTTCTATGAATTTGACTACTTTAGAAATCTCATACAAATGAAGTCATACTGTACTTGACTTTCTGGGACTGGCTTGTTTTATTTAGCTTAATGTCCTCAAGGTTCATCAATGGTGTAGCATATGACAGGCTAAATTATATTATTTTTAAGGCTAAATAATATCCCACTGTTTGTATATGCCACATTTATCATAAGTCTGCAAATACCTCTTTTAATTCTTTTCTCCGTAGATCCAGAAGTGGGATTGCTGAATCATATGGCAGTTCTATTTTTTAATAGAGGTATTTGCAGACTCATGATCATGGCAGCACCATTCACAACAACCAATAGGTGGAAACAGCCCAAACTTTATGCATGGATGAATGCACAAATAAATGGCTAAAAGGGGCCAACATGCAGCTCAGGCTGTGCCTTCAGAGGGTGGAAGCCCTAAGCCTTGGCACCTTCCATGTGGTATTGAGCCTGCAGGTGCACAGAAGTCAAGAATTGAGGCTTGGGAAATCTCTGCCTAGATTTCAGAAGACGTGTGGAAACGCCTGGATGCCCAGGCAAAAGTTTGCTGCAGGGGAAATGCCCTCATGGAGAACCTCGGCTAAGGCAGTGTAGAAGGGAAATGTAGGGTCGGAGCCCCCACACAGAGTCCCTACTGGGGCACCGCCTACTGGAGCTGTCAGAAGAGGGCCACCGTCCTCCAGACCCCAGAGTGGTAGATTTACCGACATCTTGCACCGTGCGCCTGGAAAAGACGCAGACAATCAATGCCGGCCCACGAAAGCAGCCAGAGGCGAGGCTGTACCCTGCAAAGCCACAGGGGCAGAGCTGCCCAAGACCATGGGAACCCACCTCTTGCCTCAGCATGACCCAGATGCGAGATATGGCATCAAAAGAGATCATTTTGGAGCTTTAAGATTTGACTGCCCTTTTGGATTTCAGACTTGCATGGGGCCGGAAGCCCCTTTGTTTTGGTCAATTTCTCCCATTTGGAATGGCTGTATTTACCCAATGCCTTTACCCACATTGTATCTGGGAAATAACTAGCTTGCTGCACACAGCATGGGGACCCTGGGACATTTTCCCCATGGTCTTTGGGATTAACATTAGGATCCTTGCTACTTATGTCAATTTCTGTAGCCGGCTTGAATGTATCCTCAAAAAATGGAGGAGAAAGAAAATGGGTTTTTCTTTTCTATTGCATCGTCAGGCTGCAAATTTTCTAAACTCTTATGCTCTGTTTCACTTTTAAAATGGAATGCTTTTAACAGCACCTAAGTCACTTTTGAATGCTTTGCTGCTTAGAAATTTCTTCCACCAGATACCCTAAATCACCTCTCTCAAGTTCAAGTTCCACATATCTCTAGGGCAGGGCAAAATGCTGCCAGTCTCTTTGCTAAAATATAATGAGAGTCACCTTTGCTCCAGTTCCCAACAAGTTCCTCATCTCCATCTGAGACCACCTCAGCCTGGACCTTATTATTCATATCACTATCAGCATTTTTGTCAAAGCCATTCGACAAGTCTCTAGGAAGTTCCAAACTTTCCCACATTTTCCTGTCTTCTTCTGAGCCCTCTAAACTCTTCCACCTCTGCGTGTTATCCAGTTCCAAAGTTACTTCACATTTTTGGGTATTTTTTCAGCAATGCCCCACTCTGCTGTTACCAATTTACTGTATTAGTCCGTTTTCATGCTGCTGATAAAGATATACTGAGACTGGGAAGGAAAAGAGGTTTAATTGGACTTAAAGTTCTACATGGCTGGGGAAGCCTCAGAATCAGGGCAGGAGGCGAAAGACACTTCTTACATGGTGGCAGCAAGAGAAAATGAGGAATATGCAAAAGCAGAAACCTGTGATAAAACCATCAGATCTTGTGAGACTTACTCAGTACCATGAGAACAGTATGGGGGAAACTGCCCCCATGATTCAAATTATTTCCCGCCAGGTATCTCCAACAACATGTGAGAATTGTGGGAGTACAATTCAAGATGAGATTTGGGTGGGGACACAGAGGCAAACCATATCAGTATATAAGATAAGTACATCCCTATCTATTTATCTTCTCTGGAGAGGTTGTTGTTGATTACCTAGTTATCTACTTCTCATAGTAGACGCCTGAGATTCAAGCATCACTGTGGGATCATTGAGCCCTCAGGTCCTAGATCTAGATGCTTGAGTAAGTTCAGAGAATCCAAAGCTGAGGTAGGTTGAGGGCTGGACTATTGAACTTTATCCTGTCTTGTTCTAGATTAACACAGTGACTGGGCTTGCCTGAAATTATATAAGAAGAGTACAAGTTGACCCATCTGGGGGTGTGAGGTTGAGGAAGTCTGTGTCTAGGAACTAGAACAAAGTTGGGTACTCATGATAAATTTAAGACAAATTTCCGCTTTTTGACAATTTGGCAAGAAAGTAGACCTGATATTTAGGTGAATTTGACAATCAGGAACCTGATATAGGTGTATTCATATTTTTCCAATTCCAAATTAGTTGGAAAAGTCAGTGAATGATTATCATTACTGGGATGCTTTGCATGAAATTCGTCCACAGCAAGAGCTGTAACATATTTAGACTGTCACAATTTCTGTTCTTCCAGTATCTTTATCCATTCATTAATCTAGATATTCACAAGGAATAATCCATAGCTTATGATAGAGTCAAATATTTGTAAGAAAAGTGTTCTTATTACTCAGGTATTGATAAGGTCTGGCTGTGTCCCCAGCCAAATCTCACCATGAATTATAATAATTCCCATGTGCATGAGAGGGACCTGGTGTGAGGTAATTGAATCATGGGGGTGAGTTTTTCCCATGCTGTTCTCATGATAATGAATAAGTCTCATGAGATCTGATGGTTTTATAAATGAGAGTTCACCTACACAAGCTCTCTTGCCTGCTGCCAAGTAAGAAGTGACTTTGCTCCTCCTTTGCCTTCTGCCATGATTGTGAGGCTTCCCCAGCCATGTGGATCTGTGAATCAATTAAACCTCTTTACTTTATAAATTACCCAGTCTCACATATGTCTTTATTAGCAGTGTGAGAACAGACTAATACAGGTACATTTAATCATTTGTATGCAAGCAAATTAGACAAGTAATTAATGTTTTATAAAAATTTGGAGGAATAAGACATCACTTTTATTATATATATGAGTGGGGGCTTACTTCATATTTTATTATACTATCATCATATTTTAAAGCTGTACTGTTAACCACTGTCTTATATCAAGAAGCAAGTAACCTGATATTTGGTGATTTTGATTTTCCACTAAGAGGTACACTTAGGAAATATTTCATTCCCTTTATTTATCACAGGGTGGTTTCAGTATTGTTACCAAATATTTTGTACATATTTTTTCATGATACTATTTTTTTGGTGTAAAATTAGCTAAAGAATATGATATTTTAAGGAGTTTCGTTTTCAAGAGGAATGTCTTTCCTGAAAATGTTTACCACTGGAGGGATCAACAATGTGTTTGGCTTAAAATTAGCCCTAACAACACATTTAAGTTTTTTAATCTAAAATATATAAATGCCAATGAATTTGCCAGAAAAATACAACTGGCCTTTTTCCTTCAGAATTCCAGACATAACACAGCTTCTCTGAAGTCAAGAGAAGATCAAGTCTGAGAACAATGCTATTCTTACCTTTACTCTAGGGAAAAGCTGAATTTGCTCTAGGGATAAGAAGCAAAGACAAAATGCCATTGTCTTAGTGACGTTTTCACCAAATCATTTAAGAAGAACTTCCAAAGTATTTCCCAAAATATGTCAAATGCTTAATTTAAAAATAACAAAAAACATCTTCCAACCTCTCACTTTTAAATCATTTTTTATAGTGATTAAATTTACTTAAGTTCTAGGCCATTAACAAAAGATGAAGTGGCATCCAAAGTAGGCATTTTCAGTTGAGAAACTCAGTCCTATTTAAACGTTCATCAGCTATAAATTTTAGGTTCAGACGTTGATGAAGGTCAAAAGGTTAGTGATTCATTTCCTGTACTTGTCACTCTGCTGCTTGTTATGACACATTTCTGGAAGTGACTGACAACAGAAATAATCACTCAAAGGTCTCAATTGTGTGACATGAGCAAATATATTTTAGGCTCCAAACCATGAATTGTTTTGATTATTAGAAATCCTCATAGCATACAAATAAGAGGACCAAAATATACAGGGCCTTATCTTCCCAAACAGTCATCTATAGGACATAGGGAGAAGAAGGAAAGATAAATGTATAAGGTCTGGTCATGGTAGATGCACCTATCCATCTATACATATGTGAGAATATTCTTTGATATTTCCAATATTTTGTTGGCATCAGCTTGATCTCATAATGTAACGTATGTCCTCTTTAGGTGGCCTTTATTTTCCTAAGAGAACATTATCATAGATTTCCCCTTCTGTAACTAATAGTTGCCATTAAGATTTGGGGACTAAGATCTGTCTATGTTAGAGCAATGAAATATCAGCTATCTTAGTTCTTCTGAAGTTTAGATGCTGGTTCATGCCCTGAAAACCCATTTGTACAAGGCGGGTGACTATTCCAACACTTTCATGCTAACAGCCTTCCACTTAAACCTCTGGTCAAGAAACAGGAAAGAATCATGCCCTTTTGCAAGGAAAGGAGTCTGGGAAAGAGGAGAGCATGGACTTCAGGAACGCTGACTCCTGGCCATTTACCTACCTGAGAAGCCTTATGCAAATCATTTTACCTCGATATATCCTCTGGGTAAAAGAAAGAGTAAGAATAGTGTCTCCATTGTGAGATTTAAATTCTATTATGTTTGCAAATCATTCAGTATAGTGCGTGGAATACAGTGATTGTCTAGGAAATGTCAGAGATCATTTTTACTAATATATGTTCTGGTTTCTGGAAGATAATAAGAAGAGAACACCATCAGACCTCGTGATAAACTTTCTTAGCAAAGGTGCAGGCTTGGAATGGAATTCTCGTAGTTATGGATTGATTGAAAGCTAAGTTTATGCAATTATTGGCATTGGTGGTTATGTTGGATTGCCTTTTTTTTTGATGATCAACTATACGAGGAGCAGGAAATGGGCAGGACTGACTGCCTCAGTTGTTGGTTTACTGGTCTGCAAAAACATGGTTCAGGTCTTTATGACAATTCAACAATAAGCACTTGAAAATAAACCAAGAAAACTGAAAGCAGTAAAAAATAGTTTAGTAGACAGAAGATTCTGCATCACATACAGAGCTACATAGATTCAGATGACTTGTTTATTTCAAGAAGTTCTTAAAATGTACTTACATGCATGAAGTATGTTCCCAAGAAGCTACTTTCAGAGAGGGTTATATGGATAAGTGGTCTGTGATAGTATCAGTTTTAATTATTACTTCAGAACACCTCTTCTTAATTTATATTTAATATTAATAAACATTTATGATATGGAACCAAAAATTAGCATGTCTGATTTCTTAATTATTTGGATGTTTGTTCTCAAGAAGACAATAGTGTTGTGATGGAGAGATGGTTTCAGGTAGGAACTTCCACAACAGTAGACATAAACCATGCACATTAGTGCAGAGCTGAAACTGAAATCATGTCAGAAATGTTGAGTTTGTAACTTATTAACTTTTGAAAAGTACATACAACAAGCTATTTGTAAAGCTCAGCATTTATTGATATATCTGCAATATGCCAAAATAGAACTTCTGGCAACTCTGAAATGTTCTCAGAAATAATGAGTTTTGGCTAAATGCATGCAGTGCCTGAAGTTTGGTCTTTGAGGAGTTTAACACGCACAGCTGGGTCTCGTTAATGGTGCCAGTGGAATTTGTAGCACTATCTATTTTATGACACTTCCACACCTACTTTTACCTTATAAGGTAAAGACCCAAACTCTAAATGTGTATTATCCATAGGCCTATATTTAACAGCAAAATAATGATTTTTGCAAGCCAAAGAGAAACAGGAATTCGGTCTCCAGATGCTGTTTTTGAAAAGCGGCATCTAAATAGTTGCTGCCCAATGTCATGATCATGTTGTTTACTAAGATAATTTCAGCCTGTTTTACTAAAGCCATCGTGTAAGGCCAGATTTCTATTTTTTTAATAATACATCTAAAACAGTTACATGTGTAGTTGAGACTAAAATAAAAATAAAGACATTAATGGAAAGGCTGAGTTTTATTAGAGTTTGTATTTAAAGTCACACTCCCAAATCTGCCTTTCCTTGCATTGTTGAAAAATTTCACAAGTTTTCTATAAGAAGTCAAGTATTTTTTTTTAAAGTTTGAATAAACCTGCTTATAAATGACATTCTTGGAAAAACTTTGGAAATAGTCTCCCAAAGACTATTTTTGTATGATATAATCCAGCCTTACTGGCTGTAGCTGATCGGTGGGGGAATTACCTGATCCAAGCTTTCCTCTCAAGGACCTTCTCTGAGGTGGTTTTGTTGTTGTTTGTTTGTTTTCAAAGTAGATCAGAGAAACACTTTTTTATAGGAGACATCAGTGGCCTCTAACAAACGCCAGGGCGTCTAATTGTGTCAGTGCACAATTAGAATAATGTAATCAACTAACCAAGAGAGGGAGAGAAGCACTCTTGCTGAATTTGAGTTCCTTCTTCCAGCCTTTTTTGAGTCTCAGCTACAGCTCTATTTTTCCTTAGCATTGAAATACTGTAGTAGCAAAAAAAAAAAAAAAACAAAAAAAAAAAAACAAAAAAAACCTCCTCTTTTTATCAAATTATTTTCAGTAGGGCATTTTTCAATAGGCATAGCAATGAAAATAGTTATGATTTGTGCAAAAATCATGAATAAGAACTGCACGAATTAGCTACAGCTTTCTTTAGCAAGAGATAGTAGCTCACAAGTTAGTTTTTATACAACTGTTTCTGTAAGATTTAATTCTATTTTCTACAATACAAAGAAAAGATAAAGTAATATTTGAATCTGGTTTTACAACATAGACTTAATTATGTTGGTGAATTATTAAAAAAAAAAAAAAAGTGAAGAAAGAGCCAGTTGAGACTAGGTTAGGAATAGACCCAAAACTGGAGAAGAGAGAAGTCTTGTCTTTTAGACACTGGCTGCCTCGGAAGAGGAAGATGAAAGAGGGCACACATATGAGGGGGTGAAACCAGGACTGGGGACCAAAGATGCTGAAAGTCTCTGGAGTAAAGTGGACATCAAAGACAGCTTTATGTCTTTTTCAATCTTTTCAGTGTCTCTCCCTGGATCAAATTTATCAGAACATATCTATGTAGGGACATGTTGAAAAGATATGGGAAATACCCATCTTTATGGCTAATTTAACACGATTTATTATTTAAAACAATAATGGTAGAAGTGGCTTCCATCTATTGAGATCTCAATGATGTGTCACTCCCTTTATTTATTTATGTCTACTTTATTAAAGTCTTACAAAATCCCTGTGAAATAGGTATTATTTCTACAGTGTTAAACATGGTAATAATACTGAGGCTCAGAGAAGCCTGTGCCTATGGCTACAGCGTAAGACAGACAGATCTGGGACCTTAGACCAAGTCCATCTAACTCCAGTCTCACACTTGTAACCATATATTTTGGACATTGAAATTGCATGTGTATGTCCAGTCATAGCTTCTTTGCCTGCTTTTCCTTGACATACTTTTTGAAAAGGACTATAAATAATCAAGACCAAAAATACTAAGTGAATCTGTTCAATAATTGGTGTTTGCCAAAGCCGTTTTTCTTTCAATCCCATTTTAAACAGAGCTCAACTTTAATGTTTTAATTACATGCATTTCTAGTTCAATTCAAATCTCTCTAAGATTAAAACAAATGAATAAATCAGGAAGCATAATGACTTTTGGAGAATGTCCATTTATAATAAATCTGTTATGACCAACTAAAGAACACATAACATTAAAAAAGCAAACTTTGCTATTTTGCCAAGCATTAAAATATGCAAATTTCCCTCGTGCTGTGTTATATATGTTTAAGATATGTTGATGACATGGGCTATTTTGAAATCTCTGCAAATATCCTTTTTAGGAAATATTTGTTTCTGTAGCAATTCTAAGATACTAGCAACTCATATGCCCATTTCAAAACACCTGTGAATATCACATATAGGTTACACTTCAAAATTTAACTTGTGGAACTTTTATTCTGGTGAGCAGAGTTTCATGCGCGTCCGTGTGAAGAGACCACCAAACAGGCTTTGTGTGAGCAATAAAGCTTTTAATCACCTGGGTGCAGGCAGGCTGAGTCCGAAAAGAGAGTCAGCGAAGGGAGACAGGGGTGGGGCCGTTTTATAAGATTTGGGTAGGTAAAGGAAAATTACAGTCAAAGGGGGGTTGTTCTCTGGCGGGCAGGAGTAGGGGTCACAAGGTGCTCAGTAGGGGAGCTTTTGAGCCAGGATGAGCCAGGAGAAGGAATTTCACAAGATAATGTCATCAGTTAAGGCAGGAACAGGCCATTTTCATTTCTTTTGTGGTGGAATGTCATCAGTTAAGGCAGGAACTGGCCATCTGGATGTGTACGTGCAGGTCACAGGGGATATGATAGCTTAGCTTGGGCTCAGAGGCCTGACATTCCTGTCTTCTTATATTAATAAGAAAAATAAAATGAAATAGTGGTAAAGTGTGAGGATGGCAAAAATTTTGGGAGATGGTATGGAGAGATAATGGGCGATGTTTCTCAGGGCTGCTTCGAGCGGGATTAGGGGTAGCGTGGGAACCTAGAGTGGGAGAGATTAAGCTGAAGGAAGATTTTGTGGTAAGGAGTGATATTGTGGGACTGTTAGAAGAAACATTTGTCATTTAGAATTATTGGTGATGGCCTGGGTACGGTTTTGTATGAATTGAAAAACTAAACAGAATAAAAGAAGGAGAAAAACAGGTATTAAAGGTCTAAGAATTGGGAGGACCCAGGACATCTGATTAGAGAGTGCCTAAGGAGGTTCAGCATAGCCTTGCCAGCAAAGATTATTTATTTACTTTAAGAGTTAAGAGTGGCGGTTTGGGGTTAGCACCAAGAGATATCAGCTGTGATGGCTTGGAGAAGCAGCGTAAACCATCAGTGTAATCAAGAGCAGGGCATGTATGCGTAGTTGAGAACGGTCAATAGGAGTATGACTAGAGAGAATAAGGAGTGTCCATACAGGAGCTTAAATGGGCTGTACCTTGTAGCATTCCGAGGACAGGCCTGAATTCTGAGAAGGGAAAGTGGTAAAAGTATTGTGCAGTCCTTTTTAAGTTGGTGGCTGAACTTGGTGAAGTGTGTTTTTAAAAGACCTTTAGTCCGTTCTACTTTTCCTGAAGACTGAGGACCGTAAGGGATATAAACGTTTCACTGGATACTACGAGCCTGAAAAACTGCTTGGCTGATTTGACTAATAAAAGCCGGTCTGCTATTAGACTGTATAGAGGTGGGAAGGCCAAACTGAGGAATTATGTCTGACAGAAGGGAAGAAATGACCACGGTGACCTTCTCAGACCCTGTGGAAAGGCCTCTACCCATCTAGTGAAAGTGTCTACTCAGACTAAGAGGTATTTTAGTTATCTGACTTGGGGCATGTTAGTAAAGTCAATTTGCCAGTTCTGGGCAGGGGCAAATCCCTGAGCTTGATGTGTAGGAAAGGGGGGGGGGGGCCTGAATAGTCCCTGAGGAGTAGCAGAATAGCAGATGGAACACTGAGAAGTTATTTCCTTGAGATAGATTTCCATGATGGAAAGGAAATGAGAGGTTCTAAGAGGCAGGCTGGTGGCTTGTACTATAGCATAGCCTGGCTTTGCTGGTGTGTGGTGATTATGCCTGGTGGAACTGCCATCAATAAATCAAGCGTGATCAGGTTGAGGAACAGGAAAGAAGGAAATATGGGGAAATGGGGTGAATGTCAGGTGGATCAGAGAGATACAGTCATGGGGGTCAGGTGTGGTATCAGGAATAATGTGGGAAGCTGGATTGAAGTCTGGGCCAGAAACAATGGTAATTGTGGGACTCAACAAAGAGTGAGTACAGCTGAAGGAGCCGGGGAGCAGAAAGTATATGTGTCAGGTGTGAGGAAGAAAATAGATTTTGGAAGTTATGAGAACTGTAGAGAGTGAGTTGAGCATAGTTTGTGATTTTAAGGGCCTTTAAAAGTATTAGGGCGGCGGCGGCCGCCACACGCAAACTTGAGGGCTAAGCAAAACAGTAAGGTCAAGTTGTTTGGATAAAAAGGCTACAGGGCGCAGTCCCAGTTCTTGTGTAAGAATTCCAACTGCACAGCCCTGCACTTTGGCTGTGGGTAATGAAAAGGGTTCAGATGAGTCAGGGAGAGCTAGGGTGGGGGCAGTCTCTAAAGCTGTCTTCAAGGAATGAAAAAGAGTGGGGAAAGGATTTAGGATCTATGGGGTCAGCTAGGTTTCTTTTTGTGAGTTTATATAATGGTTTTGTTAGGATGGCAAAACCAGGTATCTAAAGTCGAAAGTATCTAACCATGCCTAGGAAGGAAAGGAGTTGTTTTGTAGAAGGTGTTGGGGTTTGAGAGATCAGTCAGACACAATAGGCAGGGAGAGCATGTGTGTGTTTATGAGAATTACGCCAAAACAGGTAACAGATGAGGAAGAAATTTGGGCTTGATTGAAGTAATGGGGGCTGTCTGTGAAGCCTTGCGGCAGTACAGCCCAGGTAATTTGCTGAGCCTGTTGGGTGTCAGGGTCAGTCCAGGTGAAAGCAAAGAAAGGCTGGGATGAAGGATGCAAAGGAATAGTAAAGAAAGCATGTTAGAGATCCAGAACAGAATAATGGATTGTGGAGGGAGGTATTGAGAATAGGAGAGTATATGGGTTTGGCACCATGGGGTGGATAGGCAAAACAATTTGATTGATAAGGCACAGATCCTGAACTAACCTGTAAGGCTTGTCTGGTTTTAGGACAGGTAAAATGGGGGAATTGTAAGGAGAGTTTATAGGCTTTAAAAGGCCATGCTATAACAGGTGAGTGATAACAGGCTTTCATCCTTTTAAAGCATGCTGTGGGATGGGATATTGGCATTGAGCGGGATAAGAGTGATTAGGTTTTAATGGGATGATAAGGGGTGCATGATCAGTCGCTAAGGAGGGAGTAGAGGTGTCTTATACTTGTGGGTTAAGGTGGGGAGATACAAGGGGAGGATGTGAAGGAGGCTTTGAACTGGGGGAAAAGGCGGCAATGAGGTGTGGCTGTAGCCCAGGAATAGTCAGGGAAGCAGATAATTTAATTAAAGTGTCTCGGCCTAATAAGGGAACTGGGCAGGTGGGGATAACTAAAAAGGAGTGCTTAAAAGAGTATTGTCTAAGTTGGCACCAGAGTTGGGGAGTTTTAAGAGGTTTAGAAGCCTGGCCATCAATACCCACAACAGTTATGGAGGCAAGGGAAACAGGCCCTTGAAAAGAAGGTAATGTGGAGTGGGTAGCCTCCATATTAATTAAGAAGGGGGCGGACTTATCTTCCACTGTGAGAATTACTTAGAGCATCTGTGATGGTCTTGTAGGCTTCCGAGGCAATCAGGCAGTGTCAGTCTTCAGCTGCTAAGCCGAGAAGATCTGGGAAGGAGTCAGAGAGCCTTGGGCCAGAGTTCCAGGGGCTGTGGAAGTGGCTGCCAGGTGAGTTGAACAGTCTGATTTTCAGTGGGGTCCTGCACAGATGGGACATGGCTTAGGAGGAATCCCAGGCTGTGGGCATTCCTTGGCCCAGTGGCCAGATTTCTGGCACTTGAAGCAAGATCCTGATGGAGGAAGTCTTGTAGGAATGCTTGACTGCTGCGGCTTAGGCGTGTGCAGCTTAGGCATTTTGAAGTTCTTGTATGCTGGAGGTGTGGCTGGGTTTTGTCTCACAGCAGAGGCAAGTAATTGTAACTCAGAAATGCATTGCCGTTTGGCTGCTTCCTATTATTGTACACCTTGAAGGCGAGGTTGATTAATTCCTGTTGTGGGGTTTGAGGGCCAGATTCTAATTTTTGAAGTTTTTTCCTAATGTCAGGAGTGGATTGGGTGATAAAATGCATATTAAGAATAAGGCGGCCTTCTGGCCTTTCTGGGTCTAGGGCGGTAAAGCGTCTAAGGGTTGCTGCTAAGTGGGCCCTGAACTGGGCTGGGTTTTCGTCTTTACCTTGGGTAGTTTCTTTAAGCTTGTCAGAATTAACAGGTTTGTAAGCTGCCTTTTTAAGCCCTCAAACTAGGCAGGAAATCATGTAATCTTGTCTAGCTATACCTGGGGAATTTGCCTGATAGTTCCATTGGGGATCCTCTCAGGGAACTGCTCTAATGCCTTCCTGGAGGTCTGACTCGTGAAGCCAGCGGTTATCAGCGTGAGATTGGGCTAGAGAAAAAACTCTTTCTCTTTCATCTGGGGAGAGGGTAGAAGTCAGGATGACATTTAAGTCACTCCAGGTTAAACTGTAGGACAGAGTTAGATATTGGAATTCCTGTATATATTTAATGGGGTCTGATGAGAAAGAGCCTAAATGCTGACTGATCTGAGAGAGGTCTGATAGAGAAAAAGGTACTTGTACTTTGACTATGCCTTCAGCTCCAGCCACCTCTCTAAGAGGAAATTGTTGGGCAGGTGGGGGAAGAGCTAGTCGTGGGACTAAACTGTAAGCCGGACCAAATGTGAGGAGGGGAGGTGATAAAAGGATTATAGGGTGGAGGAGCAGAAGCTGAGGAAGAATTGGGACCTACCTTAGCCTGGCGATGAGGGGAGAGGTCAGATGGGTCTGTAGAAAAGGAAGATTAGAAAGACTCAGTGACGCTTGAGGTTGGGACTGAGGGGACAGGCAGGAGGGAAAGAAGGAAGATTTGGGATGAGCTGCATCGGGAACAGAGACTAGGGAGGGACTGTTGTGTAAAAGAATGCCTGGATGTCAGGCATTTCGACTGTTTGCACATTTTACGACAAGAATTATTTAGATCTTGTAGGATGGAAAAATTGAAAGTGCCATTTTCTGGCTATTTGGAACAACTGTCAAGTTTGTTTGGGGTCAAGCGGCATTGCAGAAGAAAATAAGGCATTTAGGTTTTAGGTCAGGTGTGAGTTGAAGAGGTTTTAATTTCTTGAGAACACAGGCTAAGGGAGAAGCAGGAGGAATGGAGGGTGGAAGGTTGCCCATAGTGAAGGAGGCAAGCCCAGAGAAAAGAGAGAGTAGAGACACAGAGGGAAAGGGTCCGGGGGTTCTTACCCTCCAGAAAAGCGGGAAAGGAGTCAGGGCACAGAAATAAGGGGTTGGGGCGCAGAGATTAGAGGTCACAGCAGAGAAATAAGGGATGGGGCACAGAGATAAGAGGTCGGGGTATGGAAATTAGGGATTGGGGGGTTCTTGCCCCCAGAAAAGCAGAGAAGGGGTAGAGACACAGAAAGAAGGGGTTGGGGGGTTCTTGTCCCCTAGAAAAGTGGTACTTGCTGCTAAGGGTGAAGGAGAAGGGGTTGGGGGGTTCTTACCCCCCAGAAAAGTGGTACTTGCCGCTAAGGGTGAATGACCAAGGCAGGCGTCCCCGCGTGGTCAGACACCTCTGAAACATGGGTGAATAATCAGAGAGGCATCCCTGCAATGATTAAACACCAAGGGAAGGCTGCCTTCCCAAGTCCATGACCAGCGCTGGAGTTTTGGATCCACAGATAAAACGTGTCTCCTTTGTCTCTAACAGAAAATAAAAGGAATTGAAATTAAGAGAAGGGAGAGATTGAAGGGTGGCACCAAGATTGAAAGGAGAAAGTGGTTGAGGGATAGTGAGAGAGGTTGGAGAAGACAGTAAGAAGAGGCCACTTACCCGATTTAAAATTGGTGAGATGTTCCTTGGGCTGGTGGTTCTGAGGACCCGAGGTCATAGGTGGATCTTTTTCACAGAGCAAAGAGCAGGAGGACAGGGGATTGATCTCCCAAGGGAGGTCCCCCTATCTGAGTCACAGCACCAAATTTCATGCACGTCAGTGTGAAGAGACCACCAAACAGGGTTTGTGTGAGCAATAAAGCTTTTAATCACCTGGGTGCAGGTGGGCTGAGTCCAGAAAGAGAGTCAGTAAAGGGAGATAGGGGTGGGGCCATTTTATAAGATTTGGGTAGGTAAAGGAAAATTACAGTCAAAGGGGGGTTGTCCTCTGGCAGGCAGGAGTGGGGGTCACAAGGTGCTCAGTAGGGGAGCTTTTGAGCCAGGAGAAGGAATTTCACAAGATAATGTCATCAGTTAAGGCAGGAACAGGCCATTTTCATTTCTTTTGTGGTGGAATGTCATCAGTTAAGGCAGGAACTGGCCATCTGGATGTGTACGTGCAGGTCACAGGGGATATGATGGCTTAGCTTGGGCTCAAAGGCCTGACACAGAGAAATAGTTGGAATCCTAAATTTGGCACTTTAAACTTGTTTGATCTTTAGAAAATTCTCTAATTTGAGTTTTAGTGTTGTCATGTGTGTATTTGCCAAAATAATACTTTCTTCATAAATTCATTGGGAAGATTAAATGAAGTCATGAATGAAAACTGCTTTGCATGTTGTAGGTGTTCCATGATGCCTATCTTAAAAATTGCTTGCAAATTAAATGAGATAATGATGCTAAAGGATTCATACATTGTAAGCACTCAACGAAAATATCTGATTCTCTTTCCTAGATGTTTTTTATATTATGGTAGCATGCTGGACTTAAAATTCTTATGTATGGGCTGGGCGCAGTGGCTCATGCCTGTAATCCCAGCACTTTGGGAAGCTGAGGTGGGTGGATCACAAGGTCAAGAGATCAAGACCATCTTGGCCAACATGGTGAAACTCTGTCCCCACTAAAAATACAAAAATTAGCTGGGCGTGGTGGCACGTGCCTGTAGTCCCAGCTACTTGGGAGGCTGATGCAGGAAAATCACTGGAACCCGGGAGGTGGAGGTTGCGGCGAGTCGAGATGGCATCATTGCACTCCAGCCTGGCAACAGAGTGAGACTCTGTCTCTAAATAAATAAATAAATAAATAAATAAATAAAATAAAAATAAAAATTCTTATGTACAGACCCATGTTCTTATAAAATTCATGTCATGGTTGTATTCACTATTAATACAGTTATTCATTTGTTAAGTTATTCAGACATTTGTGCAAGCGAAGAATATTAATTAACCACTGTATTCCAGGTGCTATTCTAGGCACTGGGGGTTGAATGAACAAAGAGGAATGACATATGAGCTTCACTATAAGAGATTCATTGGAGGTGTGTGGTAAAGATATGAAAAGGACAGAGGGAAGACATAAAAGAGGAAATGGTTAAATTTAACCTAGAGAAGAGTTTAATTTTTTTTTTTCATAGAGAAGGTGATAATGGGGCTCAGCTATAAAATATGAGTAGATGTTCTCCAGGTAAAAATGGAGATAGGGGATTTCAGAAAAATGGAATACCTTCATAAAATTTTGAAATACATAAAACCCTCTCATCTTCCTGGGAAATTTAATCTCAGAATGCCTGGAATGGCAACTAGAAGATGGAGTTTTAGTGCAATAAGTCTGGCAAAGTAGACGTGGAGAAACAGGAAGCTCTAATACACCAACTTAAGATGACTGTGGTTTACCTCTTAGGCATGAGAAGCATGTATACTCACACTGCGTGTTATGAACAGATTAGTTTGTCAGAAAATCTCATTCAAAGCCAAGGAAAAGATGAATTGGGTGTGTGTGTGTGTGTGTGTGTGTGTGTGTGTGTGTGTGTAGGTCATGATGCACAAAGAGCAGTTGGGTTAAAATTGCCACAGTCTATGAGCAAGATAAAGAGACTTTGGCTTGGAATATTTGAAGGGGAGATGGAAGGAGGTTAAGCGTATAATTTATGATTCAGAATTCACAAGATGTGGTCTCTGTGTGCGAGTTGAAAGGGATGGGAACAGGATCCTAGATGCCATTCTGGCATGGATCCATGTTTTATACTATTGATTAAGACAGGAATCCTAGAAATTTTTGGAAAGCTACAATGATTTCAGTTTTGGTCTAGTTTAATTTATGATGCCTGGGAGATACCTAGGTGTGATATCTGGTTGAAACCTGGAAATGTGAGCCTGAAGCTCATAATATAGTTCTTAGACACAGATGCATATTTGGGAATTATCCACAATTAATTTGTACAGGGAGTGAGTAAAGAAACTATCCCGTTAAAAGACTGAGAAGGAAGAATCAAATAAAAAAGAGAAGAATCAGAGAAGCCAAGGGAGGGAAGAGATTCAAGAAGTAGTCCAGAGGTTCAGTGTGATAAGAATTAAGAAAGTCATTGGATAATTTTTTTTAACTACCAATAGGCACTCATAATTATTTCTAAAAGTCTTACTAGAAGGGAAGGGATGGTATGGTTGGTTTGTCTATTCTCTGTTCTGAGGAAATAAATGTAAATGACCAGAGTTCACAAGGAGCCACAGTTACTTGTATTGCACTATCATCTACTCTTTAACTTACATAATGACCAGATTCTTCTAGTGATTTATCAAATAACTAACACTTTCATAAGTTCACAAGGTTCTTCTCTATTAGCTAGCTCATTTTCCTCACAGCAGCTTCATATCTATTTTACAGATGAGGCAGTTTCTCTTAACAGGTTAAATGAGGGGGCACAGGCCATTGGAAAGGTGGAACAGAACGATGGTTTAACACTTTTTCAAAAGGATGAGGAGTGGTGGTGATGGAAGTTTTCTAAGTTGGACAGTAGGACAGGGACAGTTGTTTTATATTTTGGAATCTGTTTGGCACATAATAAATATTCACTCAACATTTGTTGAACTAATGCTTAAATAAAGCAAAAGCCTTGTCGAGAATACTGAGTTATATACAGTACCATTTTGAGTAAGGAGTTATAGGAGATGTTTAGTATTTTGTTACTATTCATAAACATCAGTGCAGAGAGATGGAAGAATAGAAGGCTTTGTCAGTATTATGAAGCAGTCTGATAAAATTTAAACATTATTAACCACTGCAACCAGCTATGCTGACCTGCAAATGTTCTGCCTGTCATGTGCTTACCTCTGATGTCAATTCTTGTGCTTTGTCTAAACAAAAATAAAATCCCTACCACCTTTTTCAGGGAACCAGCTATTGAATCTTTGTGCCTTCCCTCTGCTGTCTCCCTTGCACTTGAGCACAATCCCTGAAATAAAAGCCTTGTCTGGGAAAAAAAAATTTAAACATTATTTCATAAAGTGCTTCCTTACTGTTTGGTATTATATTATGAAGAGGAAAAAACTTGAAAAATAATATCTTACATTTATAAAGTGTTTACAAACAAGCCTTGTTTCTGGTGTTCTGTATTACCTCATTTAATCTTCACAACAACGCTGAAAGATGGTTAGTTCCAGATGAAACATTTTAGAGGGAAAGAGGTTAAATATGTTGCCTAAGCCTGCACAGAAATGAAGCTGTGCAGAGATGAAGCCAAGAAACCTAAATCCAGAGCCCACACATTAGCCACTAGATTATACATACTTCTCAGATATGCCAAACAGACTTTTCATAATATTTCGTCTTTTCTTAGATTGCATCACATTGCACCCAATTAATAAGGGAGACGATTTGAATCATTTATAGCAATATTTACACCAAATAAAGGCCAATTGGCAATATGCAAACAATAATTTATTCAACCTTAGAAATAACTGTATTTACCCATATCTAACATCTAGATAAAACTACATAATTTATAATTTTTCTATTAATTAAAAATATCTATATGACTCATAAGCTGCTGATTCAAATCAATGAAAAAAATGAAATAGAGAAAAGAAGCATTTTCAAGAACATTGTTCTTAAGCGATTATTATTTGTTTTCTAAATTATATAGGCTTTTTCTTAACAGATTCAATTATTCTTAAAGTACTTCCCTCTACTTATAGTAATGGATAATATTAGTTCAGGGAATATTATGTATTTGCAAAGATCTGCCTAATACATCATAAATTGTTTTTACTAGAATAAAATTTCTCTTTTTGACAGAAACGTTTAGCCTGCCATTTAAGGCAATATCAGTCTAAAATAGAAATCAATTCCTGACTTAAGTTATTCTCCATATTGTAGTCATTACATTCCAGTCAGAGTCTATTGTCTCCTTCCATAAAAGCTATTCTTTGATTTAAATTGCCTGAAAATGTATAAAACCCTTTCCTGTAGAGCAATATGTGCTGTGTGGATATAGTAATTGACTTACCTAAATTATCTCTGGTACACAGACAGACTTGAATCTATTAGAATTTATGTATCTCATCCTGTTAAATGCTCACGTAGAGTCTCAACTCTTGTTGAAACCCATGACATTAAAGAAGTCTAAATGTTATGGATAATCTCTATTAATGATGGAGGTTTCTCATATACTCATGCATTTCATCTCTCTCTTTATAATCCTTAGAACTTAGCTATTGCTTTACTGAAACTCTGCTTTAGCCTATTAAATGTCATGTAGCCTTACAAACTGAAGTAACTGCCTGTTTAAGCATCCCGTAAGTACTACTGCTTCTGATTTCAACTAAACTTCGAAAGATATTCCCTAGTTTTATTGTTTTAAAATCTAATCATTCAGCTAGGTATGCTGTACTCAATAACTTAATGGTTTTATATGTTTTTATGTCATCCTCATTTCAGCCTTTAGCATTCTTGACTTATGAAATCTAATTGTTTTTGGCCTTTCCTCATGGAAACTTCAACTTCCTCTTCATTATCTTAGTTTCTCTTCTATTGGCTTTTTCACCTTCATTTTTTGTTTACTGACTTCAGCAATCAGAAATATACCCACACTTCTGAGTTCAGGTGCCATATTCTTTTTTTTAAATAAGTAAATAGATTTTTCTAGAAAATTTTAACCTACAAATTCAGATACCAGCACTTTGCTAACTTTCTATAATATAGTCCTTTTCTTTCATATTGAAATAAATTTGGGAGAGATAAAGGAAATTTCAGAAAACCCAGGAAAGTAAAGCCTCAATACTTGAGGTAGTTATAGTCAAGCGAAATGACCACTTAACAGAATCTACATAGAGAAGTTCATGGGGGTGCTAAGTCTTGTTTCACCTTTAAACATTCTGGAGGACAAATTGCAAAGTAAAATCATTAAAATCTCAAACTCCATGTTTTTTTCTGGATGATAAAATACAGATTTCATGGAAGCTTTACCAGGTTGTATGACCAGACATAAAGATGGCCAATGAGGCTCAGTGTAAGCAATAATGCTCTATGGGGAATATTGCTCAAAGTGCATTAGAAGATTCTTGGTCTTGAATATTGAACCAATCTAACATAAGGGCCTGGTTATAAGTAACATTTATACCCTGAATGCATCTATCTAATATGTTGTCTTGAATGTGTGTGATTCCTATAAACTCTGAGTTTATATAATTGAATGAACTTTAGTAACTCACTGCTCCCAAAACAAACTTGATCTCCTCCCTTCATGCATTATATTTACAAGTTTTTTTTTTAACCATGTATAGGCATCATGTATAAGCTACAGCCTAAAAGAAATTAGAAATCATTTACTAGAGGAGATAAATAGGTGCACATAAATTCCAACGGAAGTCAGAATATAGTAAATGCATAATAGAGGCGTACATAAAGAGCTGTATAGTTCAAAGATAGAAACTCTCACATAGAGTTAGGTATAATTTGTGAAGTTCTTATCATTAATTTAAAAAAAATGAACAGGATTTCTAAAGGCAGAATGGAGGGAGTAGTGTTTCCAGGCAGTGGAAGCTGCATGAATAAAGCTTCCAAGGCATATTTCAGTGAACAGCAAGTTGTCCAGTTTACCTGCATGTTAGAGGATTAGTGCTTGCATGTTGAGTAGGAGCCAATCCCAGAAGCTAAGATGAATTTCACCTAACAAATAGACATGGGAGAAAAGTTTTAAAGTTAGTAGTAAAACACTTTTGTTATGGATGCCTGGGGTAAAGAAATGGAAGAGTTGGTAGGTAATTGTGTTTTTTTAGGGAAATTTCCAAGTGTGAAATCTTGGAGGGGGTGTAGCTGTTGAATGACTGTGTAAATACCTTAGAGTTACTGTGAACTCAATGCCCTTTATGTTACAAAGATGTTGGATTATGACAGGTGGCAGCGGTACTAGTGTCCTATGTTGACAATTTCAGTCTCAGGGTTGCATGGCTTCACTGAGGTGTACATGTGTACATTTTATGTTTTGGTACTGCTGATTTTATTTTTAGTTGTGAAAATATACAGAACTTTCTTGCTATTGCTAAAAAAAATCCAAGACAATTACTAAACTAAAACTCTAGGAAGATTTTGGGCAATCACTTAGATTCTTTTTGATTGAACAAATAAGTGAACCTGTTCACTGATTCCCAAGACAGTGATGTGGACTTCTGGTGTGTGCACCAATATTTTGTAAATGGCCTGGAAGTCGTCATTCCCATTCTTACAACAAGAAAATGTGAGACAAACTGAAAATTAACAACTTTTCTTGGACCTATCAGAGAACTGAGATCACAGGGAAAAATGGTCACAACAAAATCTGGAGCGAAAGGCAAATCCAGGGTCCTGGCCAATATCTGCTTACCTGGAGCAGAAGCCACATAAACTGTATTCCAGTTTCACAATGACTTGTAGCTGAGAGGGCTGCAGGACTGAGAGTCTCTCTGAGGAATTGTACTTACGGAAGGCTTAAATCAACAAAAGACATAAAAATAAGGACACTAGAAAAATTGGAAGCCTCTGGCACCTACAGCTATAGCAAATATTAAGCCCAGCTAAATTCCTAAACAGATTAATATAAAACCTCACACTAAAGGCCTATTTCCCTTAGTTCCTATTATCTGATACATTATATCCAGCTTTCAAGAAAATACTCTAAGCCATGCAAAAAACCAAAAAAAAAAAAAAAAACAAAAAAAACACACAATCCGAAGAGACAAAGCAGGTATCTGAATCAGACTCAGATGTGACACAGATGTGGGTATTATCACACAAAGATAGTCAGGCTTTGCCACCGTTTGGCATTGTTCAGTATTCCTTGAAAAATTTACCATGCCGTGAATCCTGTCTCATGTCTGAGGCATGAATAATTACAAAATAAGATTCCCTTAAAAGTCACAAGTATCCGAACTGTGATATACGTGTAGAAAAACCACAGAAAGTAAATTCAGAAGTGTAGATAAATTGCACACCTGTTTCTCTATAGAACAGTTATCTAAAGAAAAAGCCAAAAATCTCCTAGGATAAGCTACACCTATATTCTATAGTATAGAATCCCATTCTGGGGTTTGCTGTCTTCAGCTTTTCTCTTGAATGTTAGAGGATGAGAGGGAAGGGGGGAAAAGGGTACAGAGGAGATACGGAAGGAATGGATGCATTTGGCATGGTGTAAAGCTAGCTATGTCATTACTTTCAATGGTTTAGAAGCTTGAAACAAATACAATTATACAGAAGGTTTATATTTAATATAGTTTCCTTTGGAAATCTCTAGTTTTGCAGCTAAGATTTGCCTTACTACCCAGTTGTTTTTCGTTCACTCTGATTTGTGGCTGAGCTCATGAATCATTTGCCTTTTCTATTATAAGAGAAAAAAAAACCCATTTCCAGTGATTTCAACTCTATGTTGGTGGCTCCATGTGACAGGCTAGATGATAACCTCAGCCACAGGCTGCAAGTTTGAGACTAGAGAGACTGATCCACAAAGCACAATGACAGGAATTCAAGTGAGCATGTAACAGTGTTTTTATTTCCCCAGAGATAGTTGTGGAAGACAAGGGAAATACACTGACGTTATTAGTGATGTATTTATAACAGTTTGTACTCCCACCCTCACTTCCATTGTTGAACTGCCATTGTTATTTCCATAAAAATCACCCTAGACAGTTTCAAGTTTATACAAATGATTTATTTCCACACTTCCAAGGGGCAAGGGTGAGAAATGGTTCTTTAAAGCAAGTATTTACTTGAGAAAAATTTCAAACAAGTCCTATGGGGGTACAGGATTAAGAATGAAATCTATGACTGTTTTTCAAAAGCCTTAGCCTAATTAAATAAGCTTTTCTAAACAGCAAGTTACTGTTAATGTTGACATTGCTCATAACACTAAGTGTAACAGATTGAAGAATGTATATTTAAACTGGGGACTTATTTGAGCCCTTTATTATAATGACCACATATAAAGTAATAATGATCACTAATCATTATCACTAAAATACTAATTATCATTTTATTGGCACTGTTTTTGCAATCATCTAAACATAAAGAGGTTGGTTTTTATTAGATTTCCTATTGGATGACCACCTCAACATCTGTTTTTTTTTTTTTTCTATTTTTAGTAGAGACATGGTTTTGCCATGTTGGGCAGGCTGGTCTTGAACTCCCAACCCCAGGTGATCCACCTTCCTCGGCCTCCCAAAGTGCTGGGATTACAGGCATGAGCCACCGTGCCTGGCCTCAACATCTTAAAAGATAAATCAAATTCATTTTAGCTCTCTGAAACTTTGTCTTTTTATTTTTATTTTTATTTTTTTTAGAGATGAGTGCAATAGCTATTTACAGGCACAATCCCACTACCGATCAAGACGGGAGTTTTGACCTGCTCCGTTTCCAACCTGGGCTGGTTCACCTCTCCTTAGGCAATCTCCTGGGGGCTCACCATATTGATGCCAAACTTAGTGTAGACACCCGATGACCATAGTATGTTACAGCGCAGAGCTCCTGGGCTCAAGCAATCCTCCTGCCTCAGCCTTCTGAGCAACTGGGACTATATGTGCGTACCACCACACCCAGCTAATTAATTTTTTTTTTTTTTTTTGTAGAGACAGGGTCTCAATATGTTGCTCAGGCTGGTCTCAACCTCCTGGCCTCAAGCAATCCTCCTGCCTCAGCCTCCCAAGTAGCTGGGACTACAGGTGCCAACCACCGTGCCCTGTGCTCTATGAAACTTTCTAAATAGATCTCAATCAAATATATATGGTGAACTTTTAACTCTCTCAATAGCAATTAGAAGGGAGTGGGTAATTATTGTGAGAAAATAGTTACCTGCTTTTATTCTTAAAATATCTAAGCCTTAATTAGATTACTTAATGGTGCCTTACAAGTCATATTCAAACAATTTTGCCTTCAGAGTGACCTCTGAAGTATATTCAGTCCAATTCTCCCAAAAGTCTCTGATGTGCTAGACAAAAGTCTTCTAGGAAGGTTGAAGATAGATTTACTTTTGATTGAACTAGATTTCCTTGGGGATCAAATAGGAATTTTTTTTTCAAAGAGGAATTTTAAAGCTAGAGTTAATGATGTTATGGGTTAACGTGCATGAGTTTGATAGTAAAATAAAGTCAGCTTCAAATCTTTGCTCTAAAAATAGAATCTGGCTTTGGATTAACACATAACCTCCCTGAGATCCATGTCTTTATTTGAGCTTGGGGAGAATTGCACAGTGCAGTGCTTGGTACTACATTTGATACCATACTGGCACATGGTAAGGTGCTTAATATCTGATACGTCTACAATTCTCCATGTTTTCATATACTAGTGGTCTTTAAGAGGCTTTGCAAATGGATGATGGACATTGAGGAGACCTGAAATTCACACCTGATAGATGGCTTTAGTTTCTCAGTGAAATGGGAGCTTATCAAGGCTGTCGAATGGAGTGAAGAATGAGATGAAGGTTTAGAATAGCTATTGTACTCACATGCACATGAGTTTGATATCCTTATTATAAGAATATTGATATTCTGTTTCTTTTATTCCAACTCAAGACTTGTAGCGTCCCTTCTCTACCATTTACTGCAAAAAATTCCACAGCTATTAGTTGGTGAGATGAAATTAATACAAAGGGAAGTCATAGTAGAAAATATACTTTCTTAATGGTTTATGATGTTCTCACAAAGCTAAAGAAAATACCTTGGGAAGTAAAACATAAAAGATTGCTGCACTGCTTTTTCTTGTGTTAATTTATTCACACATTTATTTGGAAAACGCTTACTTAACATTTATCTGCAAATATGAAGATTTGTAAGATAATGTCTACACATCTCAAAAATTAACAAATACTTTTAAATTGATCACTGATTTTTAAAATTTAGTTTATTTTTAAGGCACTTCAGGATTAAGAAAGATAAGTAAACAATGAGTGACAATATACAGTCTATGATATTACAGAATATGCAGCCACACAGGTATGTCACTTAGATTTCTCTTCAAGAGAAAATCTACAACAAGGAGGGAATTTAGGTGACAGATTCCAGTTGCAGCAAATTCAGGATCTCTTGTAGCATTCATTTGTGCTGATGCTACACTCTTTCTGGACAGCCCTTGTTAATGACTGAACATAGCAGAATGGATAGAGCTTGGTACTGCCCAATGCTAAGTTCTTCTACGGCAGTCTGAGATGAGGGTTCCCTGTTGTCTGGCCAAGACTTCGCACTGCAGTTTGAGACTTGTCCACCTTTACTCTATCTTCTTATAGGTTTTAGACATGCATCACAGTCTGTAGCCTCTACTTGCTTTCTCCTGCACCTTTTGCCCTTTGTCTTCCAAAAACTTTTACCCCAGTAAATCTCTTCCACTTCAACTCAGCCTTAGACCTTAATTGACACACTGAGTTCTGTGGGAACACGGAAACCAAGGTATCTAAGTCCGCTTGGGGATGAAAGAAAAAAAGCTACTGAAATAATGCTTGAAGTCTTGAAGGCCAAATATGAACCTACCTGGCAGGTAGGCAGGAGACAGTGTTCCAGACAATTGGACCAGCATGTTAAAGGGGCAGATACAGAGCACAGGATCTGTGAGTAATCCCACAAAGCACAGGATTGCCTCAACTAAATGCCCTTGAAACAAAACTAGATTTTCCTCTTTGCCCTGAGAAACTTCCTTAACCTTCCCATAGTTAACAGGATTTTTCATACATTTCTCATCCCTTCCAACCAAAGAGTGACCATATAACCTCTCCTCCCCAAGTCCTCACTGTCCCTTTGATAGTTCTACTCTGGATCTTGATCTGGAACTGCTATACCTCCTGCCTGATATATATCATGGTTTGGGTTGCAAGCCAATACCTCGTGTGCATGGGTCCTAGCTGCCCCCAAAATGTGTTGTTTCTCTTCCACTGTACAACACAGAGACAATAAAACATGCAGATCCTGCCAAGTTAAACTATACGTCAGAGTTAATTTCTCAAACTTATCTATGAATTTTCCCGGGTCTTCAGAGAAATGACCAAACTCCTCTTTATATACAGCCAAATCAGACATAGAAAAGGGAACATGTACTCTCACAGTGACTTCTTCCCCATTTGTCACCTCTCTAAGTGGACAAAGGTTTCCCTTTGGAGGTTGATAGGAGGCTCCACTACAAGTAGTACTTGCTGGGCTGAGTTCCTCAGGGAGTGGTGGGTATAGTGTGGGACTAGATGGGTAAGGAATAGGGGACAATGGGTTTCCAATAGAACATTCAGGTGGGCTGAAGGGAGAAAGGACCAACACATCTGAACCTTCAGAGCTGACAGAAGGAGGCTCTGCTCCACCCAAAAGTGCCCCTAAACTGGGGCAGTAGGGGGTTGCATTAAAGAATCACCTAGTATGTCTAGCTCTTTTTCTTCTTTACCTCTCATCAAGCATGCACACACCTGCTGCAGGGTTTTATCCTGACTGAGCAGCAAAAATGCTCGAACATATGGTATTTCATCCCAGTTTCCCTCCAGCTTACAAAACAAATCAAGTTGAAGTGCAGTATTAAAGACTGTAGTTCCAGTAGGAGGCTCTTTCTCTTGTTTTTACAAATAATAACAAGGCCAAATAGTATTACATAGAAACACCAGTTTTCTCATCTTAAGCCCATTCAGTTTAATCTGGTCCCAGTGTTCAAGAATACATCCTACTGGTGAGTTCTTTGGAATTGATGCCACGGTTCCCATGAAGGAGGCAGGTGATTTTTGAAAGAAAAGTTCCAAACCTGCGAGATTGTATTGCCACTGGCCAAGTTCCACTAAAAAGGATAAGAGAGGTTTTTAAGGCCAGCTACATTAATGAGGGGATCCCTGTCGAAAATTGAATTCTCTTATTCACATTACCCAAATAATATAGGTGAGCTGAGCCATGAATCTTAGATAAACCACAACATGGACTTTGACAAAAATGCTTAATAAGGCAAGGGAAATGAGAAGGATTTAGATGGGAATGACCAGAGCAAGCAGGTTTTGGGCAATAGCAGTAGGGTGGATTGGATAAGCAAAGCCAGTCTGCCTGAATCTAAGAAGGAAAGAAGTGTTTTTTTTGTTGTCGTTTTGTTTTGTTTTTTCAGTTTGCAAAATGAAACAAAACAGCAAGGAGAAAAGTCCCCCGATTACCATCTTAGTGCTTCTCAATCACACCTAGTCAGCATAGTGACAACAAAACATAACCACATCTATCTAATCTTATTGGCTGTAGCTGTTAAATATCAAATCTCAATCAGCAATTTTAGAGATGGAGCCTTCAATGCTTTTTGTTCCCAATGTTTCACAAACTAATGGACAGAAATTGGGAGGGGCACAGGAGAAGAATAAGTTCAAATACAGTTAAGTAAAGTCTCCTGAAAATGACAGTGAAACAGAGACAGCAACCAAGAAATTGATTGGTGCAGCAAAGAGAACAAGGCTGATGAATACGAACAGCATAGCCCGTGGTGTCAAACCCGTTCTTAGCCAAAAGGGACTTTACTGAGAGGGGCTTCTAATCCCCTAAATTTTAGAAGTGATTCTAACCTCTCAAGTTGGGCCTCTAACCCAAGGTCTGTCAAGTGTCCGTGCCTTTTATTGAGAGGAGGCTTTAACCCTCTTAGTCTTTAGGAGAGACTGTAACTCCCCTAAATTGGGCCTCTAACCCAATCCCATTCTTTACTCAAGTATGCACCCCACTTACCCAAAGTCGTCCAATCAGTGCTGCAGTCTATTTCCTTTGGGTTCGGGGTCTCTTCAGTATCATCCATTTGGTGGTTTGCCAGAAATATGTTACCGGACAACCCTACTTACCCAAAATTAGCCTTTGGGTCGGGGGTTTCCCCACTGCAATCCCTTCATGGTCACCAGAAATGTTGCAGGGAAGAGGTCCCGATCCAGATCCCAAGAGAGGGCTCTTGGATCTCATGCAAGAAAGAATTTAGGGAGCGCAAAGTAAAAGCAAGTTTATTAAGAAAGTAAAGTGGTGAAAGAACAGCTACTCCATAGACAAGAGGAGGACGTTCCCGAAAGTAGGAGAAGGAATGCATCCACCCTGGCTACAGTGCTTATATATGTGGGGGAGATGTGCTCTGCTACAAGGGTTTGTGATAAAGGATTAAGTTTCTTCATTACTATATTTTGCAAAAAAATCAGTGTTATTATCTTTAAAGCAAAATTAGGAATGCTTCTGTTCTCCAGATATTGGGATATGTGGACACTCCTAAGTCTGAGTCTGTTTAATAAACATTATTAGTTTGTTCCCTTAACTGCAAACATCTGGAGGCCAGGAATGCCTAACTTTCTAAGAATGCAGCTCAGCAAGTCCCAGCCTCATTTTCCTAGCCCTCATTCAAAATGGAGTTGCTCTGGTTTGAATGCCTCTGACATATATATAGAAAGCTAATTTAACCCAAGAAAAATTAAAGTACTACAATATTTAGGGTTTTTAAAGTAAAAAATACTGTGGCTGAAGAAAAAATTTAATGGGAACAGAGACCCTCTATTAGATAATGTGAATATGTTTTTAAGTAGAAATCAATTTTACCCTGAATCTCATGATGCCCTGGACCTAAGATGTTGTTTATCCTATCAAGGGGCCCTTGTATTGCTCTGTAGATTGATATTGTATACCCCATCACATTGCTGATTTTCATGGATGTGCTGTGGAGGCCTTGACCCCAGGCAAACTGCATTCCTTTGAGGTTAACACAAGCAGGGCTTTATGGAAAGCGTTGTACAAGGGACAATGACTGCAGAGTAAATGCTGAGGGAGCCAGCCAGCTCACCAGTTTCTAGGCAGCTTTAGTCTACAGTAACCAAATGCATCTCAAGACACTGGATTCCAAACTGTGAGAGAAAGAAAGAACAACCATCTTATATTTTCCAATGTCTTTATCTTTTAGTTGTACATCCTTAGAAATGCTTTGAAACAACCAAAAATCAAACCACTACCCCAAACAACACCTCAGAAAGGTAGCATTTACCAAACTTGGTTTAGATTTAATGCCAAAAACTAGTTTTGAGATGACAAAGAGCTGTCCTTTCATTATGAATATTCAAATGACCAGTTCCTGAGTAACTGACATTATTAAGTTGGTCCAATTAAATAAATACCATAGAGTTACTAAGGTGGAAGATATATATTACATATGTATACTGTATTTGTATTTTTAAAGATTAAAATATAAATATATATATATATCTTTTATTTTCCATTTATTTGAAATCGAAAAATAAAACAATCATTCAGGGAAATGAATCAGTCTTAAAAGGCTGGTAGAATTGGAATGCATGAAGAGAGAAGGATTAGCCACCTACAACCAGAATGAACATGGCATTTTTTAGACGAGTAAAGAGATTGGGCTTTCTACTATCTGTT